>NC_000007.14:94931021-95234051 GCF_000001405.40 Homo sapiens
GATTTTGCCTGGTCAGCTGGAAGTTTTTCTTTTTTTCCTTTGCAGATTTTTCCAGCTGTTGTTTTGCCCTCTGAAGTACTGGGTCTATAATGATCTTAAAGTCTTCAGAGAAATATACATGAATATTATTCTTCATCAGCAGTAGAATGAAGTAATTTCTCTTTCAATATTAATTTACACTGAAAAAAGAAGTGCTCACCAGTAAGAGGTTTTATGTTCTTTTCTGACGGCAGGTGAACTTCAGATAATGTTCTGGTAACTCCTAAGTTACAGGAACGCTATTGACCCAATTGACCCAGTTGATTTCAAGTAATAGACTTGACAGCTCATTGTAAATTAAAATCCCTTTCCTATTGGCCCAGTGTCGTACAGTGGTATTTTGTTTCCGGAAACAGATATCATATTATAAAAATACTACAATTAGTCATGAAAATGAATAAAGAGAACTTACAGTGTATATTTATGCAAATACTAGGTATACTAACCAACATGATAATAATGTAAATGCTCCTTTTAGGGATTTTTTTTCTGCATGAATTAGACTGACTGGATTCTTTCTTATTTTTATTTTTTTGAGAAGGAGTTTTGCTCTTGTTGCCCAGGCTGGAGTACAATGGTGCAACCTCGGCTCACCGCAACCTCCACCTCCCAGGTTTAAGTGATTCTCCTGCCTCAGCCTCCTGAGTAGCTGGGATTATAAGCATGCGCCACTACATCCGGCTAATTTCGTATTTTTAGTAGAGACAGGGTTTCTCCATGTTGGTCAGGCTGGTCTCGAACTGCCGACCTCAGGTCATCTGCCAGGCTTGGCCTCCCAAAGTGCTGGGATTACAGGTGTGAGCCACCGTGCCCGACTGACTGTGGATTCTTAAAATACAGTTTCTATGTGTGTCTCAGAGTGTTTGGATGGTAAATGCAGGGGAGTGGCTGTTTCCATGGCTATTTCTTCTTCAGTGAATTTTTGTTGCTGAGTCTTCAGTGACCTGGCTCTGGGTATTAGCTTCACTTGAAGTAGGTAGGTGATGGAAGAGTCATTAGCCAGTTTTAAAGACAAGTTTAGTTTTCTCTGCTGTTATATAGATAAATTGGCAAGTGGTTGTGATTGAGCCTTTCCACCTTAGGGGTGGTCAGAAATCCATTAACTTAGTATTGCCCTTCTTAGAAATAATGGATTATGATGATGATGATTTTTCAAAACAGATGAGTACTTACCAGCCAAAAGGCTTTTGTGTCATTATATTTTGCTTTATGATTTTGTAAATTGTGTCAAAAAGATTGAATTGGTGCCAGCTCCATGTTTGAATTCTCTAAAAAATAAGTGCTGGTTTAGATGATCTATCTAGATAAAACATTTCAAACATTTATTATTGAATTCTTCTTAATATGCTACATAAATAGTCAGACCCCTTGTTTTTGTGAATGTTATTTTGAGGTATGTATTCAGTGTTTGCTAAGTTTGTTAGAATTGAGGCAGAGTTTTGGAGACCCTTGGAGTAGAGCTAATTCTGGAAGTTAAATTTTTACCTATCTTAAAATTGAGAGAGTATGTATTCATGGCATTTGACCTTGAAATTATATGTAGGAGTGGTGGAGAAGGGAAAGGGGTGGTGGAACTCAACATCACGACAGTTCATGAATTAAATTAACTACCTGCTCTACCAATAATAAGTATGATACATCTTTTTCATATGCCTCTCTTCATTTACAAAGATGGTGCTGGGCATTCCAATCTACCTGAAGCATTTTTTTTTTTTTTTTTTTTTGGTCAGGAGAGGTAACAGGGTTTGAACCCATCTTCATTCCACTATGCATTCTCCCGTGTGACTGCTGTCACATACCTGAGAGACAGATGGTTGGGAGTGCAGTAAATATATGTGGAACAGAGTGAACCAGCACAATGTGACTAAAGATGTGACTATATGATAAAAAGTCAGGAATGAATTAACTTTGTCTATAAATAAGCACACACAGATATAGATTTTCTCTGACAATTTAGGCATACACACATCTCTGCATATATATATACACATATTTAGTGTCATATATATGTATATATATGACATATATATACACAGCATATTTAGCGTCCTATCATCATGTAGGAAGATTTCAGTGCTGTAATTATTAAGAACAGTTACATTATTGAACTACAAAGCTGAAAGAAATTCTTTGGGAATGTAGTTTGCCATGATTCCACTTGAAATGTGCAAATTTACGAAGAGATTAAGGAAGATAAATGTATTATGGTTTAGTTTTTAAATAAGGCCTGCTACTTCTCTGGAAAGTCAGAAATACAACCAAGGTGAAATTAACATATTCTGAACTATTTGCAGAAATGCTGCTGAAACATGTAAAGTATCAAAGTGCTTCTTAAGTCATGACTGAATTTAGGTAGACAGGCAGAGAGATCAGAATAGAATGTGAAGTGGGAGGCATTCTCCTCCCTCTCTCAACTGTATTGGAGACACAGCTCCAGTGTGATTAACACTGTGAAAAGGAGGTATACTCAATTACATGCTTCTAGTGCTAAGGACGAATGGCATCTTTTTACCTCAGAAGAAACAAAGCTTTTGTTTTGTTCCAAAATGATAATGGGACATTATCATTTTGATGATGATAATAAAATAGATAACATTCACCATACCAGGCACCAAGTAAAGGGCTTTATTTATGCTAATTAACTTGGTCCTTACAATAGCTGATCACTTTTTAGCAGTGGAAACCCAGGCACCAAGAACTTAAGCATGGAGTCCACAGCTTATGAACAGACCCAGCATGCAGCCTAGGTAGTCTGGCCTGAGCCTGTGTTTACTGATGTAAGAGTCAGGTTTTAGAATAGGCCCTTCATGATAAGCTATCTTCTTGCTCTATTTTTATCCCATTTGGAAAATCCCTTTAATGCTTTTAATTGAATTTGAAGCAGACTGCCATTGAATAACGTGATCAAAGTAAAGACGTATGTTCTCAATTTGGGACAAATAAAACTCTAACATTTTTAGTTTTTTTGTTAATGTTATTTTATTTACTAGTCTTTGAAAACTTTTGTGAAATAGTTCATATTTAACAGATGAGGAACCAGAGGCAGAGTCTTAAATCCACAAAATGAGGGTAAAGTAAGAGGTGACCCAGGAATTATTTGAATGTAGAATTTTGTTTGGGCAATATTTTGGCCTTTTTACTGTATAAAATGCATATGAGCAGAGGAGAGCACTAGATCAGGGGTCAGTTAATGTGTCTTCCCTGTATCAGACTCACACTGACAGTTCAGAAAGTAATTGAGTCACAACAGCACACCTGTAACAATTTAGACATCAAACACTTGCTTTGAACATTTTGTCCTTTGTTTCATCTCCTTTAATGTGACCTTTCAAGATCTCTAACATGTGGTATGAATTTGAGAGCTTCTCAACCTTTATTGTTGAGATCTATCCTGAGTTTTATCACCCAAGTATTATCCCTCATGTTTATAGAACATTTTTTTTTTTTGTCAAAAAGATCTGGCCTTTGAATTCAGATCAGATTCAGTGTAGTTAAGAAAATATGTCAAAACAAATATAGTCAGAAATTCACAGTACCTTTGTGTTCTGTTTAGGCTATTAGCTGAGCCTTTATTTACCATTTTTGGTGCTTTTGTTATCGATGTTATGTTTTAAAAATATATACATGTTTCTGGAACTACATATATGTCTGTGTGTGTATACGTATATGTACACATATATACGTCTATATACATATATATGTGTATATATTTGATGTTAAAAGCTTTTATCAAATGTGTGTGTGTGTGTATGTATATACACACATACATGTATATGTACGTATACATACACACACACACACACACATATATTTTAAGAGATGTGTTGCCCAGGCTGGAGTACAGTGGTTATTCACAGGTGTGGTCATAATTCACTGAAGCTTCAAACTCCTGGGCTCAAGTGATCCTACTGCACCAAGCCTTCCTAGTAGCTTGGAGTACAGTTGCGCTCCACTGCACCCAGCTTATAATTTTTTGATTAACAGCAATTCTAAGAGAATATTATGTAATGAAGTGTGAGAATAATTAGTGCAGTGGTTTGAACTTTAAGACATACGAATTTTATGTTCATGAATAATGTACATTGTGTTTTCATACATTGTCTATGGAGAGTCATTTTCACTGCCTGAAATTGGTCACCTTCAATTCCTTCTCATCTCTCCGCCAAAGTATGAAAAGAAGATTGCAGGGCTAAGCTACTACTTAAATATTATTCCTTTTCATAACCCTTCATATAGCACCAGTGAACCAAGGACTTTGTACAGTCTAGAGCCAAATGATGACAACATGTGGCCTATGCCAAAGATAGGTTTTAGTAGATATTAGGGAGCATTGTGAAAAAAATGGTTCTGTGGTTGAATATGTTTGGGAAACTTCATACCATGCCCCCTTCTTAGAAAATCATAAAGCTATTAACGTATGCAGGGCCCCTGAAAGACCACATTGTTACATTTTTTAAAAAGTTCTCTTCTTGCCTTGTTTTAAATGTGATATTATTTAACATTCTGTGGCTTCTGGAACACAGTTGGATAAAAATTATTGTTGTACAGTTTTAAAAACAGAATTATTCTTTTGAATTGCGTTTCATAAGTTCAGTTCTTATTGCCTTTCCCACCTCAATGATTATCCCAGAAATCTGAAAATTTTATAATAATGAATGTAGGCTTATGATAAAGTGGTTTCAATTAACAAAAGTATTGCTGTGATAAAGTAGTTTCACCTTTGAGTAAAACTTGTTGATTGCACTAAGTGGACCATTTTTGCCATTTCATTCTGGAAACCAGAGATTGCGGATTTTAAATTTTCTTTTAATCTCCTGAATCAGCCTGGATTATAACATGCTGTATTTTCTGTCTCATGATAACCATATTGCTGTAAAATATGAGAAAATTATAAACATTGTTTTGTTTAAATAATTGATAGTAGTAAAGTAAATATTTTAGGCTATGTTTACATTTGTAAAAGAAGATTTGAGCAGTAATTTCATCCCTTAGAGAAAGCCCATTTGGGTAATCAAGTCTAAATTAAAGTAATTTTCCTCAATAATTAGGTTTAAGTGTTGATGTCTGGGTACCAGAGAAGACAATGGACTTGGAGTGTGGATACTTTTAGACTTTCCTGTCTGTGTTTTCTTAGTGGTAATTATTTGTTATGGGTGATCTTTTTCCTCTGGGCGCCAGTTTCCTCTTCTCTAAATTGAAAAGGTTCTATTAGATGATCTAAGATCTGTTTGAGCTCCTAAAATCAGTCTTCTTTAATTCTGTATCTAAACAATAATTCTAGTTCTTATTTCTGTTTTGCCCAGGAAAGCTTTTAACATTAAATCAGGCTTCTGCCAGTAGTAGTCTTTGCTCTTTAGCAATACTGGAGGTCCAGGGATAAAGGACATCTCTGTTTTCATCTTACCATTTACTATCTTATGTCATGTTCTGTATTCCGTATTCTAAAGGGACTTGAGTATTGTAAACAGGAAAACCTGAGCAAAGATTGCATGAAAGAACCTTTTAAGGTACTTTGCCTTCAAGTAATGTTAAAGTTGTTTAAACAGTGTACTAATAAAACCTTTCACTAAGTATGGGGAGACTGTGTAGGGGTGTGTGTGTGTGTGTGTGTGTGTGTGTGTGTTTGTGTATATATTTTTTCCCTCCAAAAGTGATCTAACAACTTAAATAATTAAGAATTCTAAACATACTGGTGGGAAATGTTACCAAATGGTAAAACATTAATTCTGTAATATGTTTTGTTTAGTAAATGACCAGTCCCTGGTCATTAATTGCTTCCTTGACTTTGGGCAAGTAATTTCTCTAGTTGTTAAAAGACTCTTTAGCTCTTGTATATACTTAGGGTATTCTGAATAAATTTATACATATTAAAGCAAAAATAGGAGGAATTTTTTTTGTTTTATCCCTCTGGCTTTTTTCAATTGGTAGTATGACAGTTGACAGGCATGTAAGACCATTCCATGTCCATGTATTAGCATTTTTAATAGCTCCGTAGTATAAATGTGCCCTAACTTATTATTCATCCTTTCTTTATTGATGGATATTAGATTATTTCCGATGTTTTTGCTTCTATGAATAATGCTGCATCTTGATATATTTTGTGTACATGTCTGAGTGTTGTGGGATAGGCTCCTAGAAGTAGTGCTGCTCAGAGCCCTTTCTTGTCCTCCAAGCTCTCCCTCTCCTAAGCTCCCTGCAAATCCTTCTAGCATGTAATGAACCATATTTTATTGAAAGTATGAGGCTGTTCCCTTCACTGGAAGTTCCTAGGGGACACAGATTGTCATTTATTCATTGTTATATCCTCAGCACTGAGCACACGGTAGTTAAAAATAAATTTGAACTGAACTTGAAACTTGAAAATCAATATCCAATGTTTTAATTTTAAAGTCTTGGCCTGTCTTTTACAGACTTCTTCAATGTTGCAATAATTTTTTTCCCTAGTATAATTGGATCATAACATAGATCTCCTGATGGCCACAGCTATCAACATATAGGTAACTCAGTTCTTTGCAACTTACATTTCAGAAGCTTGTCATGACCCAATTACACAGGCGTAGTTTCTTACAGAATAAATGTTTTCCAAGTCTCTTGAGATAATTCTCCTAATTAGAAATCAGGGGTGAGAACCTTTATGTAATCAGCATTGTGGTAGATTGAAAAGAATACAGGTTTTGGAGTTGATGTTTGAAAGCATCTTCTCTGTGGTATTCTATAGCCATTTACTTAGGCTGAGTTTACTGGTTTATGGGAGATCCAGTTTTTTCCTCTGTAAAATGAAGATAGTATTCTATATTAAGATAGGGCACTGGAAAGGCTAATGGAGGTCTTGAATGTGAAATGTTTAATGTGGGACTTGGTACAGGTACGTACTTGTGAAATATTAGTTCCCTTCCCAGGTACCATCAGAGTTTTCAATCTTGAGGGGAGCTGGGCTGACAACATATTCACTATAGTTTTCTATATCAGTGGGGTACTCTGGTAGAGTAGAACAGGGGTCCTCAGACCCTGGGCCGTGGTCTGGTACCAGTCTGTGGCCTGTTAGATACTGGGCTGCATAGCAGGAGGTGAGTGGTGGGTGAGTGAGCATTACTGCCTGAGCTCCTTCTCTTGTCAGATGAGTGGCTGCATTTGATTCTTAAAGGTGCATGAACCCTATTGTGAACTCTGCATGTGGAGGGATCTAGGTTGCAGGTTCCTTATGAGACCTGAAACTATCACCTGCCCCTGAATTTTTTGTGGAAAAATTGTCTTCCATGAAACCGGTCCCTTATGCCAAAAAGGTTGGGGAGTGCTGGAGTAGAAGGTCATAACTGATAAGTACTTCAGAGATTTTGGACAATTACTGTTCAATTTTTTGCCATTCAGACATACCTGATGCTTTCAGAAGGTTTTCTTTTTTTTTTCTTAGTATGAGTATGTTGACTGTGGCACTGCTATTACTAGGAAAAAAGTGTTCCTAATTTACCAGTGTTAATCATTTCATGTTTTCATTGCTAGCTCTTATCTTTTTTTTCTGTCATCTTCCTTAATGTGGTTTATTTAAAAAATTTCTTTGACTGGTCCTGTTTCAAATTGAATGATTATGCTGTTGAAAAGATCAGAAATGGTCCTGGCTCTCATCTTTCTTGGGCAAGCCAATTTTTAAACTAATCTGTAAATTTCATTAAACCATGTGAACAAACAGTAAAACTGCTTTCAAAAGCATAAGCTATCAGAGATAGAATCAGTTGGTTCTCCTCTAAGTTCCTTTTTGGGGGGTAGAAACTGAAATATGCCATGCTGTACGTAGTTGTGAGGATTGAAAGAGTTCTTGCAGTATTTTCTCATATAATCTTAGACACGTATCGTGATGTGGATACGCTATTCCTGTGTTTTTAAAGGGAGAGATAAATGGTGTTTTTTCCCTCAAATTGTGGAAGAGGATGAATTTTTATAAGCAAATATATTAGTATTATTTGTTTACTGGTATAGAGATGCTCAGCCAGGAATTCATTACTGTGTGATGAAATGAATCTCAGTGGAGGCACTGAGAAGGATGATGGATTTGGAACAAGAAGATCTGGGTTTGAGACTCAGCTCTGGTGCTTACTAGTTGTATGACTTTGTGTAAATGTCTTCCCAGCCTCATTTCTTCATCTAGGAAAAGGGATAATAATACTTTTTCACAGTGTTGTTTTGGGAATTAAATTAATATGTCAAGACACTTTCTAAACTTAAAAGCATTATTATTTACATTGGCAGATACCTATATTGTTGATAGATATTATTATGGCAGCACTTACAGCAGTGCTGGTAGAAAGTGAGTCTACAATAACTACTTGCTGAATAAATGAAACAGAGTAACACTGAACTGGAGGAATTTGCTTCTTAGCAGAAGCATTCAGATTACCCCTTTTTATTTTCTTTCTTCTGTATGTTTCAATTCAAGAAAATAAATATTAATCCAATATAGATTTTTCATAGAGGCAAGGTTTTGATAATAATAATGAGTTGCTGAGTATTCCAGTGGACTTTATATAGTGCTTTAGTCAGCAAAACAGACTAAGCATACAAATTATTCATATCATTGAACAGTTTATGTAACAAATATTTTTTGAACATACACTATGTACTTAGCACTTAGTGACTTAGGTGAACATTGACTGGGAGGATACCATGTGTCCCATCCCAGAAGATTGTATAATGTTATGACAGGGACAAGATTATATATATATATATATGTATATATATGTATACATACATGTATATATGTGTACACACACACACACACACACACACACACACACGTCCCAGGAGATTGTATAGTGTTATGACCCAAACTTATAGACACCTAAACACACTATCTCTTCATTCCTTACCTTGACCTGTGCTAATCACTGATTGCATGCTCTACAAGTAGGAGGTTTTATGTCATTCACTTCTATGACCAGCACTTGGTAGGCCCCTAGGACATAATAACTGCTCAGTTAATATTTGTTGAGTCATGAATAGATGAAAGTTCTGATTTAGCAGTATTTCTATGGAAAAGAATTTGAACCATAATAATCATGATGGCTATTATTAATTAAACCCCTATAATGTGTCATGCTCTAGGCTAAGTAACTTTCGGACAGTAACTAATCCTTTTATAACATCTTGAGGAGGCTGCTGTTACTATTCACATTTGACATTTGAAGAATTGGAGTCTCAGAGAGGTTAGATAATTTGCCAGTGTCATATAACCATCTCTCATATTTTTTTTCCATTTAGCAGGATCAAGTATAATGTAGGGTGTCCTTTTTCTTTTTCTTTTAATTTTTTTTTAAGTACAGCTCATTGGAACTTAGCCTATTTCATCCAGATGTGTAACATCCTCCTTAATACTATTTTTCTTCTTATTCCCAGTTACTCTGAGAATTCTTTCCCTTTCTTCACTAGATCTGTGAGCCAAAGATGATGCTAATCATAGCTCATAAACATGAGTTTGGTATTAATATTATATGTTTGTATAATAAAAGAAAAGGAAAACATTTAGCCTTAAAGTAAAATAAGTTGGCTCTGTTAGCCTCTAGAGTTCTTAAAAATAATTATAAGTCTCTTCAGAATCCCTCTAAATGTCTTCATCTCCTTTATTGTCTTTATCTGCTTAAAACTGCTTCTCTTGAAAGACCAGAATGCAAGATCAAAAAATCAAATATTATATATAATATTGATTTCTGGTAGATTCATAGAATTTCAAAGCTGGAAACAATCTTATTTTATTTTTTAGAATAGGAAAAATCTTTTGTAAATTAGAACACTTAAAAAATAAGTTAGGACACTGGAAGTCTTAGGGAATTAATTCTGCCAAAATACACCTTGCCCAGCTCCCATCTTTCTGTAAGCTATAAGGAGTTGTTCATAATGAAGAAACAGACCCCTTTAGGCAACAACAAAATCAGAGAAGAGCTGAAGATTTGGGGAATACATTATGCACAGTTACTGTGTGTCTTCATTTTGCAGAAAGAAAAGTATACTCTACTTGGTTTGATATTGTCTGTGAAAGACTAATATTTTTTAAAATTCAGAAGTCGCAGGACAGACAGTAATATAGAAGAGATGAAAATAAAATGGGAGTAGAGAGGGGAAGAAGTTAAAAGAAAAAGCAGTGGCATTTAGAAGCTGTTGCAGAGATCAAACAGGACAAACAAGGCTTAGAGTTAGTAACAAATGGACAAAGCAGAGATCAGTTTTGCCTTCAAGGGGTGCTGTGATGAGAGTATGTGTAAGTGGTAAGACAATTGCCTAAACCTCAGTAAGATATGGAATTGTATCTTTACATGCATCTTTATCCCTAGTAATTACAAGATTGGAATTGTATCTTTATATGCATCTTTATCCCTGGTAAGTGGTATCTGTACTTCTGCATATGTGATGGTATGATTCATTGATAATTTGAACCTCTTCATTGTACTCTTTTTAAGAAGGGAAGAAAGTGTGTTTGCATACTTTAGAAAGGAGTTTATCTAAATGCTCTTAAAGTATAGTTTGATATGGAAAGGTTTCAACTCTCAATTAATCAGCAACTATTTTTTTTTTTTGGCCTAGGCTGACCCGTTTCTCAAAATTAAAAGCCACTCATATTTGGGGTCTGATAAATAAGTGTTTGTGGGCTGGCAAGTGTGGGAACCTAATGTCCATTTAAATCTTGATTTTTGTATAATTAAGTTGTAAATTATATATGTCTTACAAATGATCTTTTATGATTTGATGATGAAAGTTGGAGTCCTATTTTTGAAATAGACAAGAGAATGAAAAAAAAATCATTGAATTTTTAGAGAAACAATGTAGTTAATGGAAAGAGCAATTGGCTATGTTTTTGCATCTTTGTGACCTTAAGCCAAAGTTTCTTTTTTGGTCCTTAGTTTCCTTACCTGAAAAGTGGAATAATTTCTGGCACATATGGTTTGGTACATCACATGAAATATATATATGAAGGGCCCGGTTTTGTGTCTAATATATAGTGCTGACTCAGAATTTTATAATTCTTAATGAGGTTAGGAAAAAAAAGAAAAGAAATTTAATGATTAAATATCTAAATATCATTTCTCCCACTTCTCTCTTCTCAGTCAGAATATATTTCTCCAATTCTTAGTCACTTGGCCTGTCACTCAGAAGCCATAATAGCACTAAAGTCAATTTTGCTAGGCTCTAGAGAATTTAACCTGAGCTTCAAATTAGTTCTCCTTTTGTATTCTGCAGCAGGAAACAACCACTTCCTAGACTTGGGTGGGAGAATAAATATTATGAACTTGTCTAGGAATAAGTCAACCCTATCAATGAAAAGATCATGATTTTAACTGAGTAATTTAGGACAGAGGTTGGCAAACTATGGCCCCTAGGCCAAATCTAGACCTCTGTTTGCTTTTGTAAATAAAGGTTTATTGAATACAGCCATACTCATGCCTGTAAGTATTGTCTATGGCTGCTTTCCTACTGTAAAGGCAGAGCAAGTAGTTGTCTGCCTTCCCAGCACTTTGGGAGGCTGAGGCGGGTGGATCACCTGAAGTCAGGAGTTCGAGGCAAGCCTGGCCAACATAATGAAAACCTGTCTCAACTAAAAATACAAAAAATTAGCTGGGCATGGTGGCGGGCACCTGTAATCCCAGCTACTCAGGAGGCTGAGGCAGGGGAATCACTTGAACCTGGGAGGCAGAGGTTGCAGTGAGCCAAGATCGCACCACTGCACTCCAGCCTGGGTGACAGAGCAAGACTGTCTCTCAATAAATAAATAAATAAATAAATAAATAAATAAATAAATAAATAAATAAATAAAAGTTTGCCAACTGCTGATTTAGAAAATTGTGATCATTTCTTTAGGTGAATATTCCTGACAAACTGGTTTAAAATCATGTTTAAATATCTGCAAATTTTCTCATTAAAAAATCAATCTCATAACTTTCAAGTGTTTGCTACAATGATTCTGGGTGAGCTAAAAGATGGTCTGGAATTCATAGATCTCATTTCATCATTCATGGACTATTTAGTTATTTTGGGTAGAACATGTACTGTTTACTGTTCTTCATATGTTTTCTTAAAATTTCAGAAGTTGTTTCAAGGTTACTAAAATTGAGTAAACTGCTGATTAAAATAATTTCATAAGTATTTTTATTTATATTATGTAGACATCTGTTTTCATCTCTCTGGGATAAACTATAGGCCATTAAATATCTCCCCAGAGGGGTATAGCTTTCTGTCATTATTAAAGCTGAGCTTTCTAAATCTCTCCTAAAAGATTGTTGGCACATCAGTTAGAATGTAAACAAAGGCTTTCTGAAATTTCTTCCTGTAAACAAATGCTTTATATTTTCACATGGAGATTTCCTAGCTTGTGCCATTTAAGCTCTGTAGAAATGTTTATCAGTGAATGAATGAGTTCAGGTTCTTAGGCAATAAAATGGGGGAAAAAGTAAGGTAATATTTACTGAAATAAGTCAACTTTGATTAGGTCTGTTACTCAGAGATTTTGCTTTGCCTTCCCAGGCAAATTTTATAGCTGTCTAAAAGGAGAGGTCTTGAGGAAGTCAAGCTTATGATTGCCTCTTAAGTCATCTACTGACATGCTTTGAACTATCAAGGTTCAAGGCAGTGTGGTAGACCTTGGGAGATGGGATGGAGATATTATTTATTATGTTTCAGATACAAAACTAGGTCTTTGTTCATAATGATATTTAAAACAAATAACCCTCATTTCTATGCATGGAAAATAGTGATAGCTTATGAAAGAGTTTAGAAATGGATTTCTTGCAGTGGAGAGTGATGTTGAGAAAATCAGTGAAGGACAAATTGTGACCTACATTTTAGCAAAAGTAGGTTATTTGTTTTAAAAATATAGTCAGTTTTCTAATTACTGAGTTTGTTATTCCCTTTGTTTGTAAAGTACTTACCTCATGCTATCTGTGTGAGTGTCCTACCAAACTTCCAAGTCCATTTCTTTTTTAAAATTGATATATAATAGTTGTATACATTTTGGGGGTATATGTGATATTTTGATACATGTATACAATCCCTAGTGATCAAATCAGGGTAACTGAGATATCCATCACGTTATACTTTCATCTTTCCTTGTGTTGGGAACATTCCAATTCTTCTCTTCTAGCTATTTTGAAATATACAATAAATTATTGTTTACTATAGTTTTCCAAGCTTATGTCTGATGACACTTCCTCATTGAATTTTTCCTGCCTTCCCTGCCCTTCTACTCTAACACATATCCCCTTTGATCACCTGTTCTTTCAGACACCTCCTATGATATTTACATAAAATAATGCTGGAGTTTATCACCAGTAGTGCTTAGCACCATGCCCCTTACACACTCACTAAACATTTAGCGAAGTAGTTTGTGACTATAGTAGAAATATCCACCCCCCCACCCCCCGATTAAAAAAAAAGGTCATTACTATCTATGCCTGGGAAGTGAGTCATCGTTCTTTAGATTTGCTAATTTTTACTTAAGGGGGAAGAGGGCACCTCGTTTCTTATAAAACTGTAGAGTTAAACTGACTAAAAGCAGAGTGATGACCTAGTGATCAGAACCGTTTCTTTGACAGATTTGTTCATTTGTGGAAATCCCAAACCCTTTTCAGAGCAGTTTTTGTAATCACTTTTTGTGGTGTTTGTTGGATTCTCAGAATCTTTTTCTCAAAATAGTAGATGCCTGGATTTGCTATTCCAGGTACTTCTGAAAAGAAGATTTTGAGAGATACTGTAGAATTTTAATTGCATTGGAGGTAATGCTTTTCAGATGTATATGGAAAGTTAGATTCCAAGGATTAAAAAAAAATGAAATTCTTAAACAAATTTTGGATTCCAAGTCCAGATTCACCAGCTAGTTCCAATGGGTTTGAGGGGATGACGTATAATGTCTGTGTTTGATAAGACTAAAAGCTTTTTGAAAGTGTGTGATAGCCAAGAGGTAAACTTTTGCTCCTAAGGATCTATTGATTACCTTGATTTCATCTCCTTACATGAGATACGTACCTTTTAGCTTTCATGGGCCATGAATATACCCTGTATATGTTTATATGCCTGTATATATGATATATTCATATATATGTAAATAAAAATCAAGTATGATAGTAAAAGGATTTGTGTTAGGTCTCTCAGCTCTTAGAAGTTTGAATAATCTCATATAAGTTGCTTAACCTCTGGTGCTTTTCTTTCCTTTTAAAAATGAGGGTGATTATACCTTCTTAAGTGAAGTTTATGAGGCTTGTTTTCATGACATATACAAAAGACAGGGATTCTTAAGGTCAAATGAATACAGCTAGGGTTAGGTTATCTGGATAATTAAAGCTGAAAGCTTGGAGAAAAAAGATTTCATTGGGATGGAGGGACATATATTAGGGAGAGTATTTAAATAATTTAACTTGATTCATTGTGGATGTCCGGGTCATTGAAAAATTACCAGTCTTTCATTTTGTTTTGTATCAAATTGACATGAAAACTGTAGTCACTTCATATTTATGCCCAGTTCACAAATATCTCCTTGCTGTTTAGTCACAGACAAAAGATAATAATATTCTATTACAGTGTATCAGTTGAAATAGGCTAAATATTTATGAATATATGTTTTGAAATTGGAAGCATGTTGGAAGAAAAGAATCAATAAAGATATAAACTTGTTTTGCTAAAACAATTTGAACCTTTTAAAGATTTTCTTACTGATCTGATTATTTGACATGCCCAAAGCGGGATAGAAACAAAAGAATTTGTTAAGAGGCTTACTTATATACTTATGTATAGAGTTTAATTCTTGGATTTTATTTTATGAGTTTGAATATTAATTTTAATATACTTTACTAGATCAGTAACTCACACACTATTCATTCTGGGAATGTTTCATCTTCAGATAACTAATATGCTAAAAATATAAGAGATTCCAAAAAAGTTCAAAATTACACATGAAAATGAATCTGTAGATTTTAAGCTTTGATTAGAAAGATTTGAAAATTTATTGTGATTAAAGATAAGTTTAAGTACTTAGATAAAACACTATGGACAGATGAAAGGAAATCTAATAGGATAGCAAATATGTAGAACACATTGGTATTTCCAGCATTTTATATTTTAGTGTCTTCAGTTTCCATAGGTACCATTACTTAAATAAGAGTGATTTTTTTTTCATTCTCTAAAATGGGGAATAGATAAAAATGTGTGAAGCAACTGGTTTCTTCTGTCTGATTTGGGCTTCTAGATGCCATGCCTGGAGAGTTTGTAGAAGAACATAGTATTAGGACTTGCCTTTTTTGAAGTGTAATTTAGAAGTCAATATAACTAGGAATCTTAGTTGGACAATCTCTACTTTGTTATGGAGGCACTGTGTAGAGTGAGTTGCATCTAGCAGTCAGGTGAAAATCCCATAGTCAGAATCATGGTTTAGGGATATAACACAGTGGCCAATTTTACCTTACTTTTTTCAGGTCATGTGTCTAGGTGGTCTCACTTCAGTTAATTTTACAGGAAATTCATTAATACTCATTTGCATATTTTATTTCTTTTTCTTTAGTCAGAAAACACTTAAAATAATTTATATATTCTTTCCATAGGATTTAGCCTGTGTATATTGACTGTCAGACTTCAGGCATACATTATTTGGGGATGATGGAATACAAAGACCCACATGATTGATTATGTAATTCAAATTTACTTTCTGCGTTCTGAAGATACCACTTCACTGTACCAACAATATTTTGACTTGATCTTAGTTACTGTATTTTAAATGCTTGCACAAAATGCAAGGTAAGGGCAAGATGTCTGTTTACTGTTTGAACTGTTGTCATCCTAAGTTAAATATGTGGATTTTTGGCTCATTTTTTGTATAACTGCATTGATCTGATGTGTCCTACCTCAGAGAACTGTGTTTATATCTTTGCATCACTTTCTTATGAATTTTGCATTCTATTATTTGTATCCTTTTATTATTGTTATTAGTAAATACTAAAAGCCCAATGGTCAGACATTCTATCTTTTTAATTTTTTTCTTTGAGGATTTGGCACAGTACTTGAATATGGTTGTTACTTTTAAGTGAAAGTTGTTACTTTATAGAAAAGTCGGCTTGCAGGCCATGGAGCCAGGAACTGATATGCTCACCCTCTGGAGCTGGTCAGGTGAAGACATATCACCCCTGCTTCCAGGGACAGACATTGGCTTGCATTGCCTGACCATCAGTGCTGGACACTCCTTTATCAAGCTCCAGAATTGCTGCCTCTGGAAACGGAATGTAGTTTTGCCACCCTCTCCTGAATTCCTGTGGTCCTAGCTTCTTCTCATCCCTAGCTTCTGTTGAAAATCTGTGGACCCTTGGATTAGTTGGCTGGGCCTATATCCTGAGCCTAAGTCCTAGCTACAAGGAAGGTTGAGCAGAGCCGTATGTGGCATTTTCTACAGCTACAGTGAAGAGTGAGCTCTGCCTCATGAAGTAAGAGATTCTTCAAACACAGAAAGTGGGTTCAGATGCTGGGTACTGAACAGTGCTTTCTCTGGGGGCAGTTGCTACATTCCCAGAGAGCTGTAAAGTGACATGCTAGAAGGGACAAGAAACTTTCAGAACCTGTACTACCATAGTACAGGTGTCACTTATGTTGAGAAGAGTTCTAGTATATATTTTGAAAGGCAGATTGGTGCTAATTTATAGTTTTTGCTGTGTTTAATGTTTTGAGTATATATGATAGTGACTTAGAATTTGTAATAAGTTTCATGAAAAAACAAACTAGAAGGTGAAACAATAGGGGAAAATATGTATGCTAATAACAGGTGCAGGTCAAAACAGTAAGATGAAAGCTTGTTTCAAAAATGTAGCCTCCTGATAGGATTGACACTTATAGCCAAGTAGTCAGGTCCTTTTGGCTGGGGTTTGGGGAGGCCTGAGTGAAATATTGAGTCTGGCCATGTGACTAAGTCTGTTTTATTACTCAAATAATGGACCCATCCACCTGATGCTCAGCTCTGTATACAGTCCATCTAGGTCTCCTGATGTCGTGTTCTCCTTTTCCCATGCCACCTTGTAATCCCATGGTGGGTTCTCCTTCCCAAGAGCAGGTCTTTCATATTCAGTATGGGTCCGTAGGAATATATTGGTATATATTATAATAAGTAATGAGTGAATTAATTCTAAATTTGGAACATGATGGTCATGATGAATTAGAAACCTGTCACTTAGTTGGTACAGTGGTGGGGCAGGAGCAGGGAGGGACAGGCCAAATGTGCACATTAGAGTTATCTGGCAAACTCTAACCACTTTTACTTTATTTACCATAATGGGGTGGTTTTGTTTTTACATTTTCCCTCTTCATTCCTATGTTTTCCCCATTCCCCCATCACTCCCATTCCTAGCAGCTGGAGGTTTCTATTTGGGTATCCTCTAAGTAGCTAGTGGTCATATGCCTGATGTTGGTTTGCCAGTCATTGGGAGGGGGCAGAGGGGTGTGTACCATGACACATTTTCCCAAAGATGCTGATGATTTAGTTTCCAGGCTAGCCTACAGAAGCTTATTTAACTTATTATGTCTCTGAGATATACTAAGGGGTAGAAAGGAAGTATAGCTAGCTTTCCCCTCTCTTTCCAAGTTACATGGTTAGTCCCAAGCATAATTTTGAAGTAAGTAAAATCCATCTTTTGCATCTTGTAACTTCTCTTTGTGCATCCTGGTAATCCTTTTGTCATTCTCCTGGCATTTATAGCATACTTGAAACTTGGGACTCCATGGTCTTTCAGAACTTTTCCAGGTTTAAACAGAGAGCTCTGGGGACAATGTATTTCCCAAGAGAGAGAAAGGCTAAGTACTCCAATTATTATTATTCATTTTGTGTCAAGGGTATATATCACTACGCCAAAACCCTGGGGCTAACTTGCAACCTTTATGTTCCTTAGAAAACTTTGGCCTTAACATTCTGGTCCAAGCATGGCCTAATGTTTTTACCTTTGTTTCCATTAAGCACACCTGGGATAAGCCAGAATTTTCAAAAAGAAATTCTTAAATACCAAGGGAGAATGGTAAGAAAATACTTTTTAAAACTGACAAATGTATTACAGAGCTTTGCCCATTTCTATCCAGTTTTGATTAGTCTAAGCAGAGCAGGTTTGTGGGATTTTGCCTGTGTGTGAGCTTGGCTGGGCTTACATGGAGGTGACTCAAGGGCTAGCACTTGCTTTTGGGAGTTGAAATGTCAGTTTTCTCAAAACTCTCATATGCCTTTTGGTTTCTACACTCACAGATTTCCACCATTCTCCCACACATGCAGGGAGGAGGAATAGGAGCAATGAAAGGTGAATTTCATGAGGACTATTGTTGTATTAAGAAGTGTAATACTCAAATGTCTTGCTGGTCTGACATTGGAGGTATGAAGCAGGGAATGGGATACTTAGGTCAGGTCAAGGAGGGCATAAAATAGGGTCCTCAGAATTGGATGCAAGTGTTGTGGCCCCCATATAAAACAAAAATGGGATTTACCCAAAATAGAAGGCTACTCTGACTTACTTTAGAGACTATGAAGCCTCTATTGGGCTAGTTAGCAGCTCAGACAGTGGTGGGAATTTATCTAAGTATGCTGAGCCTTTTAATGACAGTGCTATGACAGGACACACAGCTCTGGAAGGCTTCCTAATGGGGCAGGAACCTCACCTGGGGGAGGGTGGGGTGGTGATGGAGGAAACAAGTTAGAGAGCGCCTAGGGGAGGTGAATCATAGGGTGTGATGTTGAGATAGTTTGCTCCTTTCCACTGAGTGCTTCTCTACTAAGGTTGTCTTCTGGCTAGTAAAGGAGGCATTCCAAAATGGTTCATGCTTCAAAATGACATGTTTTCTTTCCCCAGTAAAACAGTTCTTTTTTTTTTTTTTTTGAATGGTCACTTTTTTTTTGAACTTTTCTGCTTTTCTTATTTTTTCAGAAGCAGCTATTCTCAAACTTTTTGGTGTCAAGACCCTTTTACCTAAAAATTATGAAGGATCCCAAAAACACTTTGTCTAGGTGAATTATATCTATTGCACAAGAAGAATAAGTTAGGATTTTATGGAAAGTAACTGTCTCTACTGTTTTGCCTGTTTACATATCTTCAGTAATGTATACCTTTTTCCTCTCAAAAACTTGAGATAGGATGAGTGAGATTTCTGTCATTCTTGGAATATGAAATTTATATATAGTTTGGTATAGTTCAGAGACCTGAATTGCTTAGCTGGGAATAGTTGACTAGGCCAGCTCTTTTTTTATGTTCATTTCCATGTAAGCAGGATTCTGCTTCTGGGGTCTCTTTTCTGTCATGATGCTTTATTTGCTTTATTTCTATGTCACAAACTGATTTTGTCAATTTTTATAGTTTTATACGTTTGGTATCATATAGGGCAAGTTTTCTCATCTTGTTCTTCATAAGAGAGCTCTTCTTAGCCCTTTGTTCTTCTGTGTAATTTAGAATTAGCCTGTGCAATTGCTCATAAAACATTTTTCTTTCAGTTTGATTGGAATTTCATTGAATCTGTAGATTAAATTTGAGAGAATGTTTAAAATAATGAATTTTCCGGTCCTTGGCTAAGATCATACTTTTCTATCTCTTTGGGTCTTCTTTAATATATTTATTATATAATTATACAACTTTTGTTTAAAACATTTTTTGCTACTGTTGTGGATAGTGTCTTCTTTTTGTCCATGAATTAAAAGGCAATTAATTTAAAAAGATCATTTTTTCTGAGACAAGGTCTCACTTTGTTACCCAGGCTGGAATGTAGTGGTGCAATCATGGCTCACTGCAGCCTCAACTTCCTAGACTTCAGTGATCTTTCCACCTCAGCCTCCCCTAGTAGTTGGGGCCACAGGCATGTGCCACCTCACTGGGCTAATTTTTGTACTTTTGGTAGAGATGAGGTTTCGCCATGTTGCCCAGGCTGGTCTCGAACTCTTGGGCTCAAGTGATCTGCCCACCTCAGCCTACCAAAGTGCTGGGATTACAGGTAATCACCTGTATGATTACCATGTCCAGCCTGAAAGGCAATTAATTTTTGATACTAACTTTCTTAGAACTTCTGAGTTATTATCAATTTTAAAAATTTGCCTGCAGATTTCAGATTTTCTAAATAGGTGATTGTATAGTATTCCAATAATGATAGTTTATTTCTTTGTTAGAAAAGAAAAAAAAATGCTTATACTTTTGTTTTTTTTCTTCTTTGTCTTACTTGGACCTCCTTTAAAATATTGACCAAAGGTGAGGGTAGTGGACATTTTTGTCTTGTTTCTGATTTTAATGTTAAAGATTTTAATATTTTATTATTATATATGGCATTTGGTGTTAATTTTTGTTAGGTATATTTGATCAGGTTAAGGAAGTTCTCTTCAATTGCCATTTATTTATTTGCCATGTGTTAAAAAATTGTGAATGGATATTGAGTTTCATTGAACTTTTAAAATACATCTATATAGATATAATCATATAAGATTTCTCCTTTAATGATATTAATAGGTACTTTTCATGTTAAACCACTTGAATTCATGGGATAAGTCTTTGTTGTATTTTATGTTTTTATTCACTGGCTGATCATATTTGCTAATATTTTTTTCAGAGTTTTGCGTCAATGGTTGTGAGTGAGATAGACCCATAATTTTCCTTCCTCCTACTGTCCTTCTGGGTTTTGGTATAAGGGTTATACCAGTCTCCTAGAATGACCTGAGGAATGTTTTCACCTCTTAGGTTTTCTGAAGCAGTTTTTGTAATACTAGATTGGTTTGTTCTTTGAGTGCTTCATTCAGTTTCCTCTAAGACCATTTAGGACTTTTTTTTTTTTGCATTATGAGTTTTAAATTTTTCATTCAACCTCTTTGAAGACTATAGCACTCTACTTTAAAACCATTTTTTGGAGTCGATTTTGGTAAGGTTATATTTTCTTTCTTTTTAAATTATTATTATACTTTAAGTTCTGGGATACATGTGCAGAATGTGCAGGTTTGTTACATAGGTATACATGTGCCGTGGTGGTTTGCTGCACCCATCAACCCGTCACCTACATTAGATATTTCTTCTAAGGTTATCCCTCCCCTAGCACCCCACCTCCAGGCCCCAGTGTGTGATGTTCCCCTCCCTGTGTCCATGTGTTCTCATTGTTCAACTCCCACTTATGAGTGAGAACATGCGGTATTTGGTTTTCTGTCCCTGTGTTAGTTTGCTGAGAATGATGGTTTCCAGCTTCATCCATGTCCCTGCAAAGGAAATGAACTCATCCATTTTTATGGCTGCATAGTATTCCATGGTGTATATGTGGCACATTTTCTTTATCCAGTCTATCATTGATGGGCATTTGGGTTGGTTCCAAGTCTTTGCTATTGTGGACAGTGCTGCAATAAACATACATGTGCATGTGTCTTTATAGTAGAATGATTTATAATATCCTTTGAGTATATACCCAGTAATGAGATTGCTGAGTCAAATGGTATTTCTAGTTCTACATCCTTGAGGAATTGCCACACTGTCTTCCACAATGGTTGAAGTAATTTACACACCCACCAACAGTGTAAAAGTGTTCCTATTTCTCTACATCCTCTCCAGCATCTGTTGTTTCCTGACTTTTTAATGATTGCCATTCTAACTGGCATGAGATGGTATCTCATTGTGGTTTTGATTTGCATTTCTCTAATGACCAGTGATGCTGAGCTTTTTTCATAAGTTTCTTGGCCACATAAATGTCTTCTTTTGATAATTGCCTGTTCATATCCTTCACCTACTTTTTGATGGAGTTGTCTGTTTTTTTTTCTTGTAAATTTGTTTAAATTCCTTGTAGATTCTGGATATTAGCCCTTTGTCAGATGGATAGATTGCAAAAATTTTCTCCCATTCTGTAGGTTGCCTGTTCACTCTGGTGATAGTTCCTTTTGCTGTGCAGAAGCTCTTTAGTTTAACTGGAGCCCATTTGTCAATTTTGGCTTTTGTTGCCATTGCTTTTGGTGTTTTAGCCATGAAGTCTTTGCCCATGCCTATGTCCTGAATCATATTGCCTTGGTTTTCTTCTAGGGTTTTTATGGGTTTAGGTCTTACATTTAAGTCTGTAATCCATCTTGAGTTAATTTTTGTATATGGTGTAAGGAAGGGGTTCAGTTTCAGTTTTCTGCTTATGGCTAGCCAGTTTTCCCAACACCATTTATTAAATAAGGTATCCATTACCCATTGCTTGTTTCTGTCAGGTTTGTCAAAGATCAGATGGTTGTAGATGTGTGGCATTATTGCTGAGGCTTCTGTTCTGTTCCATTGGTCTATATATCTGTTTTGGGTAGCAGTACCATGCTGTTTTAGTTACTGTAGCCTTGTAGTATAATTTGAAGTCAGGTAGCATGATGCCTCCAGCTTTGTTCTTTTTGCTTAGGATTGTCTTGACTATATGGGCTCTTTTTTGCTTCCATATGAAACTTAAAGTAGTTTTTTCTAATTCTGTGAAGAAAGTCAATGGTAGCTTCATGGGGATAGCATTGAATCTGTAAATTACTTTGGGCAGTATGGCCATTTTCATGATATTGATTCTTCCTGTCCACAAGCATGTAATGTTTTTCCATTTGTTTGTGTCCTCTCTTATTTCCTTGAGCAGTGGTTTGTGGTTCTCCTTGAAAAGATCCTTCACATTTCTTGTGAGTTTTATTCCTAGGTATTTTATTCTCTTTGTAGCAGTTATGAATGGAAGTTCACTCATGATTTGGCTCTCTGTTTGTCTATTATTGGTGTATAGGAATGCTTGTAATTTTGGCAGATTGATTTTTTATCCTGAGACTTTGCTGAAGTTGCTTATCAACTTAAGGAGATTTTGGGCTGAGACGATGGGGTTTTCTAAATATATAATCATGTCATCTGCAAACAGAGACAATTTGACTTCCTCTCTTCCTATTTGAAGACCCTTTATTTCTTTCTCTTGCCTGATTGTCCTGGCCAGAACTTCCAATACTATGTTGAATAGGAGTGGTGAGAGAGGGCATCCTTGTCTTGTGCTGGTTTTCAAAGGGAATGCTTCCAGTTTTGGGCCATTCAGTATGATATTGGCTGTGGGTTTTTTCCTTCTATTTTACTTTTTTTGTTGTTTTTCTTATTTTGATGCTTAGCTCATTAATTTTCAGCCTTTTTTTCTAACAGAAGATTTTAAGACTAAATTTTACTGCTTAGCTGCATCTCGCAAGTTTTTATATTTGTATGTTTGTCATTAGTTTTGTGTTTTCTGATTTCTATTGTTTACTCCTTTGGCCATGAATTATTTGTAAGTATTAATTTTTTTACTGACAGTTTTTTACTAATATATTTCAAAGCTCTTTGTTAAGTATATATAAGTTTAGACTTATGTCTTCCTTTATAATTTTAAAAGTCATTCTTTCCTTATGTACTTATATGCCATTTCCTTATTTCTACTTAAGTCTATATGTTGGATGCAAATATAGCTAAATTGGCTTTCCTTGAAGGCCTCTTTTAAAGTCTTTTATTTGCAATATTTTTGTGTCCTTATTTTTTAAGAATGTCTTATGAACAGCATATCAATAGATTTCTTAAAAATTCAGACTTTTAAAGATAACAGGGAATTTGGTTCACTTAGATTTATTATAATTATTAATATATTTGTGATTATTTTTAGCATTTTAATGTAACATTTCCATTTCTGTTGGTTTTTTTTTTCCTCTTTTTTGGTGATTTTTTTGAGTTTTTCCTTCTCATTTGTTTTGTCCCCTCCACTAGCAGGGAGCTTAGTTATTTTTAAAATTGTTTATTCTGTTATTTTAGAATATATGTTTGTAAATATGCGTGTGTGTGTGTGTGTGTGTGTGTGTGTGTATATGTATATGTCCACATATGTTTGTATTTATATATGTGTATCTTAACAAAGTCTACAGTTATTCAATATTCTTACTCTCCTTGTGAACCATTTAGGTCATTTTTGTTATTCTGCTTCTTGTGTTTACAAAATTGCTCGTATTTAGATTTTTAAAAAAACTTTCTGAATCAGATAATTCTTACTGTCATTAATACAATTATTATTTATTTTCATTTACATACCTGTTTTTCTTTTCACTGTTTATTCATGTATCATAGATTTTCCTCTAGTATTAGTTTCCTTTTTCCTGAAGTGTACATCTTTTAATAAAGGATTATTAAGCCCTCTCATTTTTTTGTCTGAAATCTTATGCTTACTCTTAAGCAACTGTAAATAGCACACTATCTGATTCCTGTTGTTCAAAAGAAAACATAAATAGTAAGATAAACTTAGTATAAAATTTTACTTCTTAAAATATCTATCAAAGTATAATGATTTGTGTATTATCTATTGCTTTGTTTTATCCATACTCCTATACTGTTCTTGCGACATGGATAATCAAGAATAACCTGTAGGAGATTCAGAATCTTTTTTTTTCCTATTACAAAATTAGTCCAAAATAGTTCTCCTATTTCTTTTTATTCCCACTGGATAGTACTTTCTTGCTTGCTCTAATTGCTGTTCTGTTCTAAAAAAATGTCTGAACTTGACTTGTGTTAATTTTCTTTAGTTCCCTTAACTGTCTGGGCACTGAAACGGGTATAGCTATTCTCAATGCATTCTCACTTGTCACAAATTTGTTATTTTGTATGGTTTAGAAAATCAGTGCTTATTTGAAGCAGAACTAGGACTTAGGAGTTCTTCATTTGCATATTTGTAGTTGTCACATTGTGATAACTTGAATGACTAAGTGTCACTAAAGTCTACCAGTATCCTATAAGATTGCCTCATTTTCTGTGTCAGTCTTGATAGAGACTTTGGGGCCAGTATTGTTAGAGTTGGGGAAGTTTAGGTCTTCTGTGCCCCTGTTGTAGGATGAGAGTTCCTGTCTTGCTTTCTGTGTTTGGTTACCTGCCTTCATGATTACCTGGACAACTTTAACTGGGATCTCGCTATCTGCTGCCAGGTTTGCCTGCCTACTTGCCTACCTGCCAGCCTGTACCTGTGACAGTGTTGCTCACTCTGTCCTGTTGCCTGACACTACGTTCTCCAGTTACTGCTGGCCCCTAGCTTGGTTGGATTTTTTTCATCAGTGATGCTGGTTGGACAGACTTCCAAGGAAAACATTTCTGTAGGCATGTTTAATTTTCTCAGACAGCCCATTTTGTTGGTAGTTGAACCCTTGGCTCTAAAGTACCGGTGAGCATTTCAGAAAGGACACAAGCTTTCAAGAGAAAATTAGCTGCAATTAAGAACCTTCTTTTTATTGTAAACATATTGAGTGTTAATATTCTTTGGTTCTAGTTTATTTCTAAACAAAAACCTGCGTGCCATAGAAGTAGAATTTTAGATCTTTTATTTTCTATGTAAAGGTTGATTTCTTAACTTTATTCATGTTGAATTTCATATTATTCTATTTAATTTATCTAAACAAATGGATTATTTTCCTACAGTACTGAAATACTACCTCATTGATTTATTTCATTTTCTGGTTGTTACCTGGTGATTAATTTCTGTAAATCAGCAGAAGTAATAGGACTATACTGTAATATCATTGTACTGTAGTCATAGATACTTGGAAAGCTGAGGTAGGAAGATAGCTTGAGCTCAGGAGTTGGAGGCTGGCTTAGGAGTTGAAGGCTGCAGTGAGCTATGATTGCGCTACTGCACTCCAGCCTGGGCAACAGGGTGAGACCTTGTCTCCTAAGGAAAAAAAAGTGGTATGTAGAGATGGTCAGCTCCCCGAAGGCAAATCTTATTATTATTTTTAATTTCACAGTTACTGGCTCAGTGCCTACCCATAGTGCATAGTCAGTCTTCCATTAATGTTTTGAATAGAAATCAACCAGATGAGCTAGCATTAAAGTTTGGATTCCGAATTTTCATTTATCAATTGCAGAAATATAGGTAATTATAAGATAACTGCATACTGAAGTAATTTATATCCAGATATAAATGTACGTGATCAGTTTGATCAGTTTTCCTTTTCACAAATAAAGTGTTAAACATCAAAGTGGTTTTTAGTATAAATGGGACTTATGAAATGGCAGAGTTCTCTGCCATAATTTCACATCTTATTTTGGAACAAGTGGAAGATTTGTTTCCTTGTGTTCTTTATTTTAAAGCTACACTACAGTTTTATCGGTTAATAATAGACTTATTCTTAAGGCACTGCATCAGATAGTTGAAGGGAAGACATAGTTTTTGCCTCAGTCACTCATGTGCTGTACAGTTTAAAGCCATGGGACAGCCTGGACTTCAGTCTAGCTGCTTGGGTGTCATGCTTGACAGGGGTTAAAACTTGAAGTTCCTTATCTCTTAAACATTTTTATGTTTCTGAGTTCAATCCTGTTAAGATTATTGACAACATTCTTGGAAGACTGTGTCCTAAGGAAGGAAGAATTTTGAAAATAAATGATTTTGCTAGATAGAATGGGAGAAAAGAAATTCTTGGAGTACATATGGGAGGATGAAAGTCAGAATTTTAGGGAGTTATCAGGAAGCAAAAGTAAGTGTGACTAGATTGGCAGTTATGGTTAGAACTGGGTTCCAAAGCTTAGGGAAGGGAGATGATTTTAATTCCTTTTCCAAATGCTGACTGTTACCTTTGAAATTATAGGATTTGGGAGCAAACGTTCATCTTTTAACAAAAGAAAGAATCTGTATTATTATTCTTTCTGTTGATTTCATGGAGATATACAATGCCTAGCTTTGGAGGAGTTAAAAATTGGTGCCTGAGATATCCTACTTAGCCCACTTTACTGTACGACCCCTTTCTTCACACTTCTTTTTGTAGGAACGACAGGAATAGTAGGCAGTAAGCCATACTAACTAAAGCAATTTTAATTGTTTTTCTACCTTTGACTAACTAGTTATGAGAAAGCAACTATATATTTGAGAGGCCTGCTGTCATGATTTCTGGGTAGAAATTTCATAAGCAGCTTTCTAATCTACTCATTTTTAGATTAGAAAGTGGCTTAGTGGTAAGGTACTAGTGTTAGACCCTTATTCTTTATTAATCATTAATCAGTTTCAAATGTGGATTATAAGTGCCCTTTGAGGACAAGACATACTTTGTATTTTGTGTGCAAAAAAAGCCTAAAATGTGGTTGTTGGTCTCAGTAGATCCAGCACTTGCCTAGAACTTAATAAAACTAGTTAAATTTTGTGAATGATTTGCCGGAAGGAGTTTGTGTATGGATAGTTTCTCACCTCCAAACCACTTGCCTAAATATCACTTCCTTGGAGACCTCCCCTGTTCTGCAGTTTAAATTGGCTTCTCAGGCTCTATCATATCACTCTTTTTATTTCCAGAGTGTAACTTATCATTACTTGATGTTTCTTCTTCATTTATTTTTCTCATATTAGAACTTATAGGTTCCAGGATAGTAGAGCCCTTGTCTATCTCATTCACCTCTTTATCCCCAGTGCCTAGGCCACTGCCTAGCACAAGGCAGGTACAGAAAAAATATTCACCAAGTGAATGGGTACATTTTCTTACTCTCACCTTCTTTTTTCTTTTTTGCTTACTTTTATTTGTTAGAGTTATTATGTTGTTATTTGTTAGAGTTATTATGGGAATAAATAATAGGTGTGCCCTAAAAAATAATGAACAGCCTTATCAAATCAGGGCTCTGAGGTAAATACAGTTTCATTAAGTCATCAGCAATGTTAAATTAAGCTTTGAGATTGTATTCGCTCTCTTGTTACATTGATTATATATTTATTTTCATTCATTAAAAATTGTAACTTGGGTAAAATCCCAGACTGTATAAACAATTCCTTTTTAAAATGGATTTGGTTATTTTCAAAGAAAAGATACATTTTCTGTATTAATGCTTAAATTTCCCTAAGAGCTTTTATGATAATTAAGCTTAAAATACCAAAGATGGATATGGTTACATATTTTGCTGATTTCAAAGTTTGGAGAATAGTTAATGAACAACTACTAGAAAGTTAATAGAAATAGTTAATGGACAACCACTTGAATGTAGGAATAAAATTTTCATTTATATCCAAACTAAATCCAGCATATGATAATGGAAGGACAACTCTTGACTTAGTTTGGATGTAAATGAAAAAGCACAAAATGTTGCAAGATTAGTATTTCATTTTGCCTATGGAAAGAATCATTTACTTAGATTTATCAAGTTACTTAGTTACTCGGTATTTAATAACTACCTATAGTTGGAGGATTCTATGAATTCAGATTCTATAAAAGAAATAGTCACTTCTAAAACCTGTCATTAAATTTGCTTTATTTAATGTGATGTGTTTGGTGTTTTCTGAGCAATAGTGGTTGTGGACATAAAAAAATGAAAAGATTATTTTGATTTTAAAAATTAATATTAAATTTATTAATGTTACAGATTCAAACACCTAGTTTTATCTTTGGCTTCTAAGTTCTGTTTATAAAACACATTATTCTTGTTATAAGTATATCAAATTTTAAACATTTAAGGGTTTTTGAATGATACTTAGTCATTTATAAATTTAACCACATTAAACCATTTAAAACTCTATACATTTAATATATTTGATTTTTAATTACTTTTCTGAGAATTGAAAAAATTTTATGCATGTCACAAATTAAACTTACAAATATAGTGACTGTAATGTTCTCTTAAATATGTCAATACTATGTTTAGTGCTAATAAGATTTCTACTTATAATCACAAGTCTCAATCAGTTATTCAATTTTTAATTTTAATCAGAACTACAAGGAATTATTGTCCTGTCACTCTAATAGGTCATATTCTCTTATAAGTTACACATACTTAAAATATGATTGGTTTTGTTATTATAAAATGTTAACAGTATGAATTTGATTCTCCTAAATATTTCATATTTTAAATCTCCTCAGAAGTATATTATCCCAAGCAATTTTCTCAATTATTTGAGGCTGCGTGAAGAATTTGAGCAAGATGTTCATCAGATTTTTGTTAGTTCATTTAAGATATATCAAACTTTATTTATTGATAACAGGCATGTAAAAATTAATTTCTGCTTCACCATGTGGTCTATACCCCTATTCTATTCATTTGTAGAATGTTGTCTGTAATACTTGATTGGATTTTCTATTTCTTTGGCTGTTAAGATAATTAAATACCTTTTCACCAAGCTTTAAAGATCCTTGAACTATATGGACTTCTTTCTCTCTCTCTCTTTTTTTTTTTTTTTCTTCATGTTCTTCCTATCTGGCAGAAGCACAGAAATCTTACTGTTATTAAAATATCTGATTGAATTCTGGCACTCTCTTAAGACTGTTCAGTTATAACTTACAAGATGATTCTACTGATCCTAAGTAAAACTGATCAGTGAAATCTTTTAGTCCTTTGACCCTTCTTCCAGCTTTGTGTGTGTCCTCTATGCTGAGGGAGGGAGGGGGAAATAAGAGTTCTCTTAAAAAGTACACTGATACTAATCCTATAGTGTCCTTTATGTTATAAATGATAGTCTGTGTTCCTTTCAGTTGAGGTCAAAATAAAATGAAGAGAAAGCTCCTGAAACCCTTTTTGAAAGTAGGGGTAGAAAAAGGAAATAACACTAAATGCCTACACCTTAGCAGATGTTTTGCATAGACTATTTAATTTAAATTGATTTCATTCTTACCATAAACCCCCAGGTAAGTAATATTAATCCCTCATAAAGTTTATTTACACATAAGGAGACTGTTATTCAGTAAAGTTAACAACTTTTCAGGGGTCATAAAACTATTAAGCAAAGGAGCCAAAATTTGAATCTAGATGTGTTTATTTTTTTTAAATCCAGATCTCTTTTTTTTAATCCAGATCTCCTTCGTCAGAAGATAAATGACAATAAAATTAAAATTGTGTTCATTTAAAAGATGTTTCTTGTGGCTATGTTTCTTTTCATTTGCTTGTTTTCCCTGCAGATGTATTTAATAGAAAAGCAAAGTTCCAATGTGCTTTCTAAATCATCCCTATTGGTTTTGTAGACCCATTTATTGGCAGGGAAGATACATGTTCTATAGAGCTGGCATCTGCTTGCAGGTTTCTATAGCCTTTCCTCTATGTAAATTAGTTTGAATAGGTAAAGGGGAGAATTGAGTAGTGATATGATGTATTTAGTCTGGAAGGAAAATTGTAAATTCACTAACTTCCTGACTCTTTTAAATGTTCTCTTCTCCTTCCTCTGCTTTATAAGAAAACAAGACTGGTTAATAAAAAAAACAAAACTTATAAATAAATGACACATTTGCCTTAAAAGGGAAACTTGAACCTTAATGAGGGGTGGTTTATTTTTTCAGATAACTTGGGTGTCTTTTGGTTGTATTGAATGTTTTGTGCTTTTCAAAATCATATCATGAATAATAATATTAGTATTATTCTAATAACCCAGTAGGTTGAGTATACTAGGTATTATTCCCATTTCATTAATAAGTAAATAAAAAAAACTGATAGCCTGAGTCATCGGGCCGGACAAATTCAGAGCCAAAAATCTATAATATTTTAAGCAAAAGGTTATGTTTGAAAGACTGTGAGGTTCCTTATATGTATAAAATTGGATAGATTTAGGAGTTCTATCTGGTTATCTTTATAGGAAGTTTAAGTATTCAGAGTTAAGGTTATTTTTAGAAATGACTGGGTGCCCTTTTGCAAAAACTGTTTTGAACTATTTATATGAATTGTAGTATCAAATAGTGCCAAATTTGGATACAAATGTCCTTTTAGGCAGCAAAGTACTATTTAAAGTATGAATTAAAGTATTTGGAAAATGTTTGCCCTTATCGTTTAACACATTCATGTTTTACTCGTGAATTAAGCACAAATCGTAGAACAGATTTGTATTGGTACAGCCAATGTATTTGAGTGGAGCCCAAGTATTGATATGTCAGAGGGTGGTCATTTTGCCTTATTTTTTTAATCAATATTGTTGACTATTTTATAAATATTTCAATGCCTACTATGTGCCTAAAAGTATTCTATGAGAAATGTATTGAATCTACTTTTTGAATCTTCATTGGGTTTCGGGATAGAAACTTTAGAGTCAAATGAATTTTCTGGGATTCACTGTACATCAACTAATCCCCTAGTCTTAATTTAAATCTTTTCAACATCAGGAGTGACAGGTTTTTTTGTTGCAGGTCACCTGTGAATGGGTCCTTTATATAGAATGAGACTTTAAAAAATATTTGTTTATGTCTAATCCATCCTCACATTAACTCATGGTATGTTTCTGGGTAGTTTGTTGTCTCCAAATTTTATAAACCACAAAAATGTGCTGCTGCTGAGATGTCAGTAATTAATTATTTTTATAAATAATCTTTTGTCAACTCTGGTGCCTTAGCTGTTCTTAGGTTTTTAAAGAATATCCTGATAAAGCAAAGTTCTCATATATTATTATATTGGATTGTCAGTTGAAATTAGTGGTTTTTTTAATTAAGAAAAAGCCACTCAGAATTTTGTAAAATATTGTAAAATATTCAAGGGTTTTCCCCATGTTGTGAATGTATGACATATGACTCTAAATTGGATTTCTTTAACCTCTTTCTCATAAAAAAAATCTCACTTTTCTGTTAAAGGAATGCAGAAGTTATTCCTTATAAGGAAAACATCAGGAGTTCTATTTATAAGCGTATAGTATTCAATCAAAAAACTCATGTTGAAAATTCAGATAAATAGCTAGCAAAATCACACATTAAAAAATACATTGAAATGATGTATGTGTAATCTAAAAAAAATTAATATACGTGAAATGCAGTGAATTCCACCTTAATTTTGGGCTTGATCTTGGGAGTCTGAGTGACTACAGTGTCATTGACTTGAGCATGAAAGGACTAAGTATATTCCTGCTGGAGTCAAGCTCGCATATTAACACAGCTCCCTTTGAATTTCTGTATCTGTGGGTTTTGGTGTAGGCAGAAGACTTGCCACAGAATAACAGGATAATTCACAGTAGAACTTTCCTTTCCTGGATTTGCTTCCTGTTCATACATGCTTTATCAGTAAAATGACTTACTTTTAAATACATGAAGTCACAGAATTGAAAATTCAAAATAGAAATTGCTTAAATACAGCAAAAAAATCTAGTTATTCAAGATACTTGGGGAATCAGGCATTTGGGTTTATGAAACCACATAGCCATAAAATATAAACAAACAATTCTCAAAATATTAAAATATATTTAATATGGAAACTTCTTTGAATAAGTAGTTTTTGTGTAAATGTGACATTTTAGGAATTTGAAATGAATTTTGGGTTTACCAGTTATGCCACACTTAACTTGGATTGGTGAAGCATGGAAATGAAAACCCTTTCTTAATGAGACTTTCTAAATTTTAATATGATGGATAACTCAATTTTAAAGTATAGTTTCTATTTTTTATAGCAGCTTTATTGAGATATAATTCACATACCATAAAATTTTTAGTATACTTGCAGAATTGGTCAGCCACAATCAATTTTAGAAATTTCCATCACCCCATCCCTGGCTCACATTAGCCACAGGCAGCTGCTAATCATATGTTTTTTTCTGGATTGGCTTGTTCTGTACATTTTATGTAAATAGAATCATATAATATGTGGTCTTCTGTGTCTTCTACCTTTCACCTAACAATGTTTTCATCCATGTTGTAGTGTATACCAATATTTAGTTCCTTTTTGTAGTCAAATAATATTCATTGCATGGATATACATGTTGAGTTTCCCTTTTCAGAAATGCGTGGGACCAGAATGTTTTGGATTTTTGATTTTTTGAAGTTTTGAATATTTGCAATACTTTATGTATTAGGCAAGCCTTTGTGACATATTCAACAATATCTTTACACCAGATAGTAGAGAATAAGCAGAAAAACCACAATAAGTGATGCACATAGGTCTTGGCCTCATGTGGGGGCATTGTGGGGAACCTGGCATTGGCATATCCCATTGGCATATCCACCTGCACATGTGCCATTTTATTACCCTTTGTCTGAGTGTTTGTGTAGGAGAATAAGGGCATGTAGGAAAATATATATTCCAACTGAAGAGGGTTGGAGGGGTCTTTTTTCCCTTGGGGACACTGACTAAATTGTTTATTGTGCGCCTGTGTTCTGAATGCAACTTGTCACAAGAAGTCAGGTGTGGAATTTTCCATTTATGGAGTTATATTTGTGCTCAAAATGTTTTGAATTTCTGGGTTAGGGTTGCCCAAACTGTACCATATTTTATTTATCCATTTATCAGTTGAGAGACATTTGGGTAGTTTCCTCATTTTGGCTGTTATTAATAATGCTGCTGTAAACATTCATGTGGAAATTTTTGCAGGGACATAGGCTTTCTTTTTTTTAGATAATTATCTGGGAGTGTATGGTTAATATTTGAAAGATTAATTTTACTTTTTTAAATTTATACTTTAAGTTCTGGGATACATGTGCAGAATGTGCAGTTTACATAGGTATACATGTGCCATGGTGGTTTGCTGCACCCATCAACCTGTCATCTACATTAGGTATTTCTCCTAATGCTATCCCTCGCCTAAATCCCCACCCGCTGACAGGCCCTGGTGTGTGATGTTCCCCTCCCTGTGTCCATGTGATCTCATTGTTCAACTCCAAATTATGAATGAGAACATGTGGTGTTTGGTTTTCTGTTCCTGTCGTAGTTTGCTGTAAATGATGGTTTCCAGCTTCATCCATGTCCCTGCAAAGGACATGAACTTATCCTTTTTATGGCTGCATAGTATTCCATGGTATATATGTGCCACAATTTCTCTATCCAGTCTGTCATTGATGGGCATTTGGGTTGGTTCCAAGTCTTTGCTATTGTGAACATTGCTGTAATAAACATACGTGTGCATGTGTCTTTTTAGTAGAATGATTTGAGTATATACCCAGTAATGGGATTGCTGAGTCAAATGGTATTTCTAGTTCTAGATCCTTGAGGAATCACCACAATGTCTTTCACAGTGGTTGAACTAACTTACACTCCCACCAACAGTGTAAAAGTGTTCCTATTTCTCCACATCCTCTCCAGCATCTGCTGTTTCCTGACTTTTTAATAATTGCCATTCTAACTAGCATGAGATGGTATCTCATTGTGGTTTTCATTTGTATTTCTCTAATGAGCAGTGATGATGAGCTTATGTTTGTTGGCTGCAAAAATATCTTCTTTTGAAAAGTGTCTGTTCATATTCTTTGCCCACTTCTTGGTGGGGTTGTTTGTTTTTTTTTCTTGTAAATTTGTTTAAGTTCTTTGTAGATTCTGGATATTAGCCCTTTGTTAGATGGATAGATTGCAAAAATTTTCTCCCATTCTATAGGTTGCCTGTTCACTCTGGTAATAGTTTCTTTTGCTGTGCAGAAGCTCTTTAATTTAATTAGGTCTCATTTATCAATTTTGGCTTTCATTGCTATTGCTTTTGGTGTTTTAGTCATGAAGTCTTTGCCCATACCTATGTCTTGGATGGTACTGCCTAGATTTTCTTCTAGGGTTTTTATGGTTTTAGGTCTTATGTTTAAGTCTGTAATCCATCTTGAATTAATTTTTGTATATGGTTTAAGTAAGGGGTCCAGTTTCAGTTTTCTGCTTATGGCTAGCCAGTTTTCCCAACACCGTTTATTAAATAGGGAATCCATTACCCATTGCTTGTTTTTGTCAGGTTTGTCAAGGATCAGATGGTTGTATGTGTGGCATTATTTCCGAGGCCTCTGTTCTGTTCCATTGGTCTATATATTTGTTTTGGGTAGCAGTACCATGCTGTTTTGGTTACTGTAGCCTTGTAGTATAGTTTGAAGTCAGGTAACATGATGCCTCTAGCTTTGTTCTTTTTGCTTAGGATTGTCTTGGCTATATGGGCTTTTTTTTTTGTTTCATGTAAAATTAAAGTAGTTTTTTTCTAATTCTGTGAAGAAAGTCAATGGTAGCTTGATGGGGATGGCATTGAATCTATAAATTACTTTGGGCAGTATGGCCATTTTCACAATGTTGATTCTTCCTATCCATGAGTATGGAATGTTTTTCCATTTGTTTGTGTCCTCTCTTATTTCCTTGAGCAGTGGTTTGTAGTTCTCCTTGAAGAGGTCCTTCACATTCCTTTAAGTTGTATTCGTAGGTAGTTTATTCTCTTTGTAGCAATTGTGAATGTGAGTTCACGTATTATTTGGCTCTCTGTTTGTCTCTTATTGGTGTATAGGAATGCTTGTGATTTTTGCACATTGATTTTTTTATCCTGAGATTTTGCTGAAATTGCTTATCAGCTTAAGGAGATTTTGGGCTGAGACCCTGGGGTTTCTAAATATACAACATATACAGTCATGTCATCTGCAAACAGAGACAATTTGACTTCCTCTCTTCCTGTGTGAATACCTTTATTTCTTTCTGCCCTGGCCAGAACTTCCAATACTGTGTTGAATAGGAGTGGTGAGAGAGGGCATCCTTGTCTTGTGCTGGTTTTCAAAGGGAATGCTTCCAATTTTTGGCCATTGATTATGATATTGACTGTGGGTTTGTCATAAAAAACTCTTCTTATTTTGAGATACATTCCATCAATGCTTAGTTTACTGAATTTTTAGCATGAAGGGGTGTTGAATTTTATTGAAGGCCTTTTCTGCATCTATTGAGATAATCATGTGGTTTTTGTCATTGGTTCTGTTTATGTGATGGATTACGTTTATTAATTTGCCTGTGTTGAACCAGCCTTGCATCCCAGGGATGAAGCTGACTTGATCATGGAGGATAGGCTTTTTAATGTGCTGCTGGATTTGGTTTGCCAGTGTTTTATTGAGGATTTTCGTATTGATGTTCTTCAGGAATATTGGCCTGAAATGTTCTTTTTTTATTGTGTCCCTGCAGGGTTTTGGTATCAGGATGATGCTGGCCTCATAAAATGAGTTTGGGAGGAGTCCCTCTTTTTCTGTTGTTTGAAATAGTTTCAGCAGGAATGGTTACTGCTCCTCTTTGTACCTTTGGTAGCATTTGGCTGTGAATTCGTCTGGTCCTGGGCTTTTTTTCGTTGGTAGGCTATTAATTACTGCCTCAATTTAGAACTGGTTATTGATCTATTCAGGGATTCGAATTCTTCCTGGTTTAGACTTGGGAGAGTGTATATGTTCAGGAATTTATCCATTTCTTACTAGAGTTTCTAGTTTATTTGCATAGAGGTGTTTATAGTATTCTCTGATGGTAGTTTGTATTTCTGTGGGAGATCAGTGGTGATATCCCCCTTATCATTTTTGTTGTGTCTATTTGTATCTTATCCCTTTTTTTCTTTATTAGTCTGGCTAGTGGTCTATTTTGTTGATCTTTTCAAAAAAGCAGCTCCTGGATTCATTGATTTTTTTTTGAAGGGTTTTTCATGTCTCTGTCTCCTTCATTTCTGCTCTGATCTTAGGTATTTCTTGTCTTCTGCTAGCTTTTGAATTTGTTTGCTCTTGCTTCTCTAGTTCTTTTAATTGTGATGTTAGAGTATCAATTTTAGATCTTTCCTGCTTTCTCTTGTGGGCATTTAGTGCTATAAATTTTTCTCTAAACACTGCTTTAGCTGTGTCCCAGAGATTCTGGTACATTTGTGTCTTTGTTCTCATTGGTTTCAAAGAACTTATTTATTTATACTTTAATTTTGTTACTTACCCAGTAGTCATTCAGGAGCAGGTTGTTCAGTTTCCATGTAGTTGCGTGGTTTTGAGTGAGTTTCTTTTTTTTTGTTTTGAGGTGGAGTCTTGCTCTGTTGCCAGGCTGGAGTGCAGTGGTGCGATCCTGGCTCAGTGCAAGCTCTTGAGTGAGTTTCTTAATCCTGAATTCTAATTTGATTGCACTGTGGTCTGGGAGACTGTTTGTTGTGATTTCCATTCTTTTACATTTTTTGAGGAGTGTTTTACTTCCAATTATGTGGTCAATTTTAGAATAAGTGCAATGTGGTTCTGAGAAGAATGTATATTCTGTTGATTTGGGGTGGAGAGTTCTGTAGATGCCTATTAGGTCAACTTGGTCCAGAGCTGAGTTCAAGTCCTGAATATCCTTGTTAATTTTCTGTCTTGTTTATCTGTCAAATACTGACTGTGAAGTGTTCAAGTCTCCCACTATTATTGTGTGGGAGTCTAAATCTCTTCGTAGGTCTCTAAGAACTTGCTTTATGAATCTGGGTGCTCCTGTAGTGGGTGCATGTGTTTTTAGGATAGTTAGCTCTTCTTGTCGCATTGATCCCTATACCATTATGTAATGCCCTTCTTTGTCTCTTTTTTTTTTGAGACGGAGTCTCGCTCTGTCGCCCAGGCTGGAGTGCAGTGGCGGGATCTCGGCTCACTGCAAGCTCCGCCTCCCGGGTTCACGCCATTCTCCTGCCTCAGCCTCCCAAGTAGCTGGGACTACAGGCGCCCGCCACTACGCCCGGCTAATTTTTTATATTTTTAGTAGAGACGGGGTTTCACCGTTTTAGCCGGGATGGTCTCGATCTCCTGACCTCGTGATCCACCCGCCTCGGCCTCCCAAAGTGCTGGGATTACAGGCGTGAGCGTCTCTTTTGATCTTTGTTGGTTTAAAGTCTGTTTTATCAGAGACTAGGATTGCAACCCCTGCTTTTTTTTTGCTTTCCGTTTGCCTGGTAAATATTCTTCCATCTCTTTATTTTGAGCCTATGTGTGTCTTAGCACATAAGATCGGTCTCCTGAATACAGCACACCGATGAGTCTTGACTCCATCCAATTTGCCAGTCTGTGTCTTTTAATTGTGGCATATAACTTGTTTACATTTAAGGTTAAGAAGTTCTCCTGGATAATATCCTAAAGAGTGTTTTCCAGCTTGGTTCCATTCTCCCTGTCACTTTCAGGTACACTAATCAAATGTAGGTTTGGTCTTTTCACATAGCCCCATATTTCTTGGAGGCTTTGTTTGTTCCTTTTGATTCTTTTTTCTCTAATCTTGTCTTCATGCTTTATTTCATTAAGTTGATCTTCAATCTTGGATACGCTTTCTTCTGCTTGATCGATTCGGCTATTGATACTTGTGTATGCTTCACGAAGTTCTCGTGCTGTGTTTTTTAGCTCCATCAGGTCATTTATGTTCCTCTCTAAACTGGTTATTCTAGTTAGCAATTCATCTAACCTTTTTTCAAAGTTCTTAGCTTCTTTGCATTGGGTTAGAACATGCTCCTTTAGCTTGGAGGAGTTTGTTATTACCCATGTTCTGAAGCCTACTTCTGTCAATTCGTCAAACTCATTCTCCATCCAGTTTTGTTCCCTTACTGGCAAAGAGTTGTGATGATCCTTTGGAGGAGAAGAGGCATTCTGGTTTTTGGAATTTTCAGCCTTTTTGTGCTGGTTTTTCCTCATCTTTGTGGATTTATCTACCTTTGTGTTTTCATGTTGACCTTTGGATGGGGTTTCTGTGTGGACGTCCTTTTTGTTAATATTGATGCTATTCCTTTCTGATTGTTAGTTTTCCTTCTAACAGTCAGGCCCCCCTGCTGCAGGTCTGCTGGGGTTTGCTGCAGGTCTACCCCAGAGCCTGTTTGCCTGGGTATTACCAGTGGAGGCTGTCAAACAGCAAAGATTGCTGCCTGTTCCTGCCTCTGGAAGCTTTGTCTCAGTGGGGCACCTTCCAGATGCCAGTCAGATCTCTCCTGTATGAGGTATCTGTCGACCCCTGCTGGGAGGTGTCTCCCAATCAGGAGGTACAGGGGTCAGCAACGCACTTGAGGAGGCAATCTGATGCTTAGCAGAGCTTAAGCACTGTGCTGGGAGACTCCCTGCTCTCTTCAGAGCTGGCAGGCAGGAGTGTTTAAGTCTGCTGAAGCTGCGCCCAGAGCCACCCTTTCCCCCAGGTGCTCTGTCCCAAGGAGATGGGAGTTTTATCTATAAGCCTCTGACTGGGGCTGCTGCCTTTCTTTTGGAGATGCCCTGCCCAGAGAGGAGGAATGTAGAGAGTCAGTCTGGCTATTGTGCCTTTGCTGAGCTGTGTTGGGCCCCACCCAGTTCGACCTTTCTGGTGGCTTTGTTTACACTGTGAGGGGGAGAACCGCCTACTCAAGCCTCAGTAATGGTCGACACCCCTGCCCCCACCAAGCTGGGGTGTCCCAGGTCGACTTCATACTGCTGTGCTGGCAACGAGAGTTTCAAGCCAGTGGGTCTTAGCTTGGTGGGCTCCATGGGGGTGGGATCCACTGAGCTAGACTGCTTGGCTCCCTGCCTTCAGCCCCCTTTCCAGGGAGTGAACGGTTCTGTCTCACAGGCATTCCAGGTGCCACTGGGGTATGAAAAAACACTCCAGCAGCTAGCTTGGTGTCTGCCCAAACGGCCATCCAGTTTTGTGCTTGAAACCCAAGGCCCTGGTGGCATAGGCACCAAAGGGAAACTCCTGGTCTGCAGATTGCAAAGACCATGGGAAAAGTATAGTATCTGGGCTGGAGTGAACCGTTCCTCACTCCACAGTCCCTCACGGCTTCACTTGGCTAGTGGAGGGAGTTCCCTGACCCCTTGCACTTACCGGGAGAGGCAATGCCCCAACCTGCTTTGGCTCATGCCCCACCCTGCTTTGTCTCACTGTCTGTGGGCTGTACCCACTCTCTAACCAGTCCCAATGAGATGAGCTGCGTACCTCGGTTAGAAATGTAGAAATCACCCATCTTCTGTGTTGACCTTGTTGGGAACTGCAGACTGGAGCTGTTCCTATTTGACCATCTTGCCAGCCACCTTTTTTTTTTTTTTTTTTTTTGAGATAGAGTCTCTCTCTGTTGCCCAGGCTGGAGTGCAGTGGTGCGATTTCAGCATATTGCAACCTCCGCCTCCTGGGTTCAAGCGATTCTTCTGCCTCAGTCTCCTCAGTAGCTGGGACTACTTAATTTTACATTGTTAAGAGTAAACAGGGTTCTGTATTCTGTATATAAAGAACTGACATAAGGAAGCATCCTTGAGTAGTGGAAATGGGTTTTCTAACCATGGCTTTAGTATTTAAATCTTCTGTACCTCTAATTTCTTACATAGTAAGTGGAAGTTCAACAACTGGAAGATCTCTGTGGTCTTTAGCGTCCTCACCCTCTCTCTATGCTTTCTCATTCAGCAAACATTTGTCAAGTGTCTACTCTGTGGCAGAATTTGTGTAAGAACTTGGGGATAGTCTGTCTTCAGATGAGCTCAGAGTCTAGTAGGAGAGAGGGGAAAGGGACAAAAGAGAAAAAAAAGCAATACTTGTAAGTCAACCGTTAGAAGCCAGTGTGGTGAGTGCCTCAAGAGTGATAATCACTTAGTGGTGGACCACTGAGGAGCCTCCCACTGGGGGTCAGGGTGCAGTGGGGGAGGTCTAGGAAGATTTCTTGGTAGAAATCACATTTAAGTAATCCTCAGGTAGTCAGCCAAGTGTATTAATGGGCAAATGGCATTTTATGACAAAAGCTACTTGGTAATCATTTCATGCTTGAAATTTTGGATAAATGAATTGCTAAAGATGACCAAGCAAGAAAAGACTGCAACGCTTTTTTTCTTTATTACCCATGGCCAGATTTCCTAGTTATTTTCTCATTGCAAAAGAATGTGAAACAAACTGATTAAGTGTAAAATAACTCTTAACTCTTATTTAGACTATCGTAGTCATCTTCAAAACTCTTTGAGATCATCTTGAGAATTCACAGTTTTCTATTCTTTTTGTTGCTAGCAGGTGAAATTATGTACCTTTGGAACCCTCTGTATGGGTCAGTCTGTGGTACTCACAGTAGTCTTTATATAGGAGTGTTTGCATGTGATTGCAGGTCAGCGGAGAAGCAAACAAAGCAATAACCAAAAAAGGTGTGCTGAAAGTTGCTGTTTCAACTCATAGACATAGTAATCTAGTTGAAGTATTTTAACAATCTCTTCAGTGCTATTCAGAAGACAAATACATTGAACTTTGTTAATCTATTGAGATTTTCAGGATTTTTAAATTGGTTAGGATATAAGAATTCTTTCTTCCTAAGTTTTTCCCTTTGCTTTCATAGTCATTTCCTTTAAAACCTGATTTAAAGCTTTGTGTTGAAGAAGGCTTCCATCATTACAAACTCTCCTTATGCAATTTATTTACATACTTCAGTACAACTTATTACCCAGTTTGTATTCTCATAATGAGTTGATTCTAAATTAAAATACAGAGATATTTCTGTTATGGCCATGATGACCCAGGCACACATAGAAGGTGGCTGTGGGATGTGAATAATAATGCCTAATTTTAATTCATAAAAGCAGTTGTCTGTTTTTTCATACAACCTTGGTATTGTACTGTACTTATTACTGGTCTTTTGTACTGTGTATATATGGTCTTGTTATTTTTATTAGGTAGTTTATCTAAGTTTTAGTTCTAGTTATGTAAGTGGATAAGATTCACATTGATTTTGACTTTCATGATTTATTACATTAATGCAAATCAAACATTGACCAGAGAGAAAAGCAACAACCTTTCTTAGATGAAACAATGCATTCCTAACTTATGCTGTTAGGACCAATTTTTTTTTTTTTTCCCTGCAAATGTGACAGGCTTCTTGTTCTCTAGCAGTGACCTCTACCTTGGCCCTGACTCAGCTGGTATGATGGTTCTTTGTGCAAATATTTTCTCAACCTTCAATTTGTCACAAGTAGCTAAGCATTATCCCGTGAATAATAGATTTATGATTTTGCTAGCATTAGCACAGTGACTAGGATACTAACTTATTCCAGCTGTGTTTCCTGGGTTTGAGTTTTCTTCCCAGGAACTGGCCTTTCTGAGCAAGAAGAGAATGAATGGCCGATTAAGTAGATTTGCAGTAGGTGTACACTGGCAGCCTAGAGGAAGATTAATCTGAAGACAGGTTGAGAGCACCTGGAACATTTTAGGATTTAGGTGATCTGACTATTAAGTGTTGCCAAGTCATGGGACCTGGTAACTACCATGTTACTGATGGGGAGACTGGATCTTAGAGAGTTAGAGGATCTTGTCAAAAAGTCATCCCATTCTAAATTTAATACACTCTTACTGAATCCAAGTTTCATGTTCTTTCCATTCCATAACAGTTATAAAGACCAATGGAATGAATAGATTCTTAATGGTAAGGAAATAATGACTTCCTGGACACAATATATTTTTAAAAACCGGAAGTAGAAATTACTTCGTACTTTTCCAGGATGTTTCAGTCATTTAAAACAATGCTGAGATTTCACTTCCTTCACTTTTTTGCTTTATGAGATTTTGTCCCTTGTCTTAAATACTGTGAAAACAAGAAACCTCCACAAAATATTGAAGCAAGAAATATATCTACCACATCATAAAAATAATGTGTTTTTATATTTTGGTTATTGTTTACTAAGTTATTTTCTACCTTAGGTTATAAACTAGAGTTGAAAAGGGCTGAACTGCTTATTTTTAAAAAGTGATTTAATAAGATTATTGTTTAGGAGATGTAGAGAGAATGATAGGCTAAAAAAATGCCTTGAATTGTAATGATGTCATGTGTTGAGAACCAAAAAGCGAGTTTGGGACTTAAGCATTCCCTTGAAGAATAGATGGATAAGAAAAAAAGTGAACGTTATAGATTTTGGAGAGTTGAACTGTTGGTGGTGGAGAATGACAGACTAAAATGAATATAGTAAGTGAGATAGGAATTAGCATGTTGAATGAACATTTGTAATCAGAGTAGATAATTCATAGGGGACAAGAGAGAGATAGGGATTAGATAGTGTCAGAATTAGGAAGATGACCTTTATTTATGGTATATAAGTCAAGTTATAGAACAGAGAAAACAAAAGTGGTGTTTTAGAAATTTTATTTTTTTTCTTTCTTTCTTTTTTTTTTTTTTTGAGAAAATGTCTCGCTCTATTGCCCAGGCTGGAGTGCAGTGGCACAATCATAGCTCACTGTTGCCTCAACCTCAAGGCTCAAGTGATCTTTCCATCTCAGCCTCCCAAGTAGCTGGAATTACAGGCGCATGCTGTCACATCCAGCTAATTTTTTATTTTTCGTAGAGACAGGGTCTCATTATGTTGCCTAGGCTGGTCTCAGACTACTGAGCTCAAGCAATCCTTCCACTTCAGCCTCCCTAAGTGCTAGGATTGCAGGCATGAGCCACTATGCCTGACCTCAGAAATTTTAATTTGAGGAAATGTAGACACCATTTAGGAAATTGATTGTGGTTTTAGGATCCTGCACTCTGGCAACAATAGTAGGCTTTGAGAGATGAAGGATGTGATATTGGATGAACTGCATGAGTTAAGGATGAATCTGAGATAGAGGTTCTGAAACTTGAGTGTGTATTAGGATCGCCTAAGGAGCTTGGTAAGGTTCTGATTTTGGCAGGTTGGGTAAGAGGACAGAAATTGCATTTTTAAAGGCAGTCTCGGCATTTCTGATGTAAATGGTAAACAAGTTCCTAGCCAGAGACACCAGGATAATCATAGATAGAGAAATGGAAATTAGGAGAATAGTTTTATAAGATGAAATGGTAAGTTTAGTTTTGGATAAGTTGAGTGTTATCTTTATATATTGCAATGAGTTTGATGACAGGACATCCAAATGGAACGAGCTGTCCAATAAAAATAGATCTTTGTGTTGGATTGTAGTGTGAGAGTGGATGATGTATCAGAGGAAGGTGTTGGAAAAAGAACAAGAGCATGTCCTTTTCTTCTGATTAATTCATCTAAGAAACACTGGGGCAGTGATGGGTCTCTTTAGTTACGTCAGGTCAACACAGTTTCATTCTTGTTTCTCTTCTAAAAAAACATTGACGCTTCTTGTTTTATTTTCTTAACTCCTGGGAAACGTACATAAATGTCTTTGCCACAGTCAAGCTGGTCTTGACTGGATAACAGCATTTTCAATCACTAAAGTCAGCTATTTGAGTTGTTCAGTAGAGGCACATTAAAATAACTCATAAATAAGTCAAGACAAGTTATAGAGAAGAGAAAGTTATAGAGAAGAGAAAACAGAAATGGTGTTTTAATTTGAGGAAATATAGACACCATACAGGAAATTGATTGTAGTTTTAAGATCCTGGGCTCTGGTAAGCAGTAATAGAATTTGAGAGGAAAGTTTATAGTATCTGATATGTCCCTATATATAAATGATTCTTAATCCATATTTTTCAGGACCCTTAGGGAGCTTTTCAGATAAGTTTAGCTAGCATTTTTAAATTATTGAAAAAATGAACTCTTCTCTTAATTTGGAAAAAAAATACTGTGTTGCAGTCTTTAGAAGAATCTTAGTATATAACATACTCTGGTCTCAAAATCAAATAAGCAGTGACATTGTGCTATAACCTAAAAATTGATATGAATCACTGTGATAAAGGAAGTTTACTCTAGTTTATTCATAGATGAAGAAAAGTAGCCTGGTAGCTTGAAGCTGTTCTTTTAGCTTTGCTGCAGATTTATAAAATGTTCAACATTTCCATTTACCTCTGGACAGGCTGTAGTTTTTTTTTGTTTTTTTTTTTTTTTTTTTTTTTTTTTAAGGATTAAGATCCTTGAAGCTAGAGGTCTTTGAAACTGCATCTGAGTGGAAGAGGTCTAGTGTAAAGTGACTCATTCTTAAACATATTCAGAAATGCTGTGGGCCAAATTGAATCCCTTGAAATATAACCTGTATACACAGTTTCCAGAACATGAGCTAGTTGTGTTTCAGAAGTTTATGTGTAAGACAGCTGTTTGGAACTCAGAACACATTTTTTTTTTCCTTATTGAAGCAGTACAAAAATTACTGGCTATGTTCCCAGGCCAGTTCACAAATATTTTTCACCCAAATGTACTTTAAGTATTAACTGTACAATTTCCATTTATTGAGTTGATATTTTTGTTTCTGTGGGAAAATATATCCCAAATCAGTTTGAAAGAAATAGGTTATCTTTGCTTAGCTGGATTGGGGTCTTCTCAGAAGATGTCACTGGTCATTCATAAAAACCAGTAATTTATTAATTGTACATTTTTAACCCCTTCCTCTCAATTATAAAGGTACAATTTCAGGTTATTCATTCCCCTAGTGATTACTATTTTAGAAAGTAGCCCCGGTTTCTCTGTCTTCCTCTTTCTTTACTTTCTCTTTTCTCTCTAAATGTTGGGTCATTATTAAGTTTATGTCTCTATATCAGGGATTGTGTGTTCAGGTTTGGTTACAAAATGGTTAGTGCTCCTGTATTTTTTTTAGCCAGCATTGATTAACAGAGTTAATCACTTTCTGTCTTTAAAAGAGACTGATAAGGGCTTATGATATAAAGTTTATTTGGGAAATTATCTGTTATCTGTCAAGTATGGTGATGACTGGTATTGTACAGGACAGAAAACTAAAATACCTACTAAATTATTAATAACATAAAATAATACAAAAATTATTACGGCATTGTTTATTATGTTGGATTTTAGTTCTTTGGTGAGTCATGCATAATACATTATCTGTTATATTTAACATGTTTTATTCTTTTTTTTTTTTTTTGAGATGAAGTCTCGCTCTGTCACCCAGGCTGGAGTGCAGTGGTGTGATCTCGGCCCACTGCACCTCTGACTCCTGGGTTCAGGCGATTCTCCTGCCTCAGCCTCCCGAGTAGCTGAGACTATAGGCATGTGCCACCACGTCTGGCTAATTTTTTATATTTTTAGTGGAGACGGGGTTTCAGTGTGTTAGCCAGGATGGTCTCGATCTCCTGACCTCGTGATCCACCTATCTCAGCCTAACATGTTTTATTCTTAATGCATATTTTGTTTTGACTGGTTGTGGTTGGTGAATATATGTGTTCATTAAATAAAAGAGGTTCTTTTTAGCAGGGAGTAAGGCTGTTTTAACTTCAGCCTCAGGGAATGTTTTACTTTGATGGGATGGCTGTTATTTTGAATGGAATCAAGGATCTGGAATCTTTTATTTATTAATCATTCACTCTACATGTATTTATTGAGTATCTGCTTGGTGTCAGGCTCTATTCTAGGTATTGGGGATACTACAGTGACCAAAACAGACATGGTCCCTTCTTTATGTAGGTTATATTCTTGCTGGGGATCTAGAGAATAAATGAGAATTGAATAAGTAAGTGTGTGTTGCGATATATTGGGAAGGTAGATCCAACTTGGCTAACAGATTGGCTATGGTATATGAGAGTAAAGGATATCAGCCAGGTTTTTGGTCTAAACAGCTAGAATCCTGTAATTGCCTTTCCCTACAGTGGGGAAGACTGAAGGATATGGGGGCTTGTGGGAGTAAGAGGGGATCAAGGATATGGTTTTTACATATTAAACTTGAGGTGCCTGTTAGACATTCAAATTGAGGTGTTCGAAAGGCAGTTTAGGGGAGATGTCTGGGTTGAAGAGAAATTTGGCAGTTGTCACTAGAGAGTGAATATAGGAAAAGAAGAGATTCGAGTCACAAGCCCCAGAGCTCTCCATTATTGAGGGGCTGGGAAGACAAGGAATCAGCAAAGTAGACCAAGAAGAGCAACTGTGACCATCAAGAATAGCTGAGGTAGATGGTTCCCCAAAAGCCAAGTTAAGAAACATGTTTCAAGAAAATGGGGTGATCAGTTTTGTTAAATGTTGCTGATGGTTCGACTAAGATGAGAATTGACCATTGAGCAACATTGAAGACATTGGTAATCTTTGAATGGAGTCATTTTCATGGAGAGGTGGGACAAAAGCTTGAATGGGGTGAGTTCAGGAGAGAATTTAGAGGAGATAATTAAATTGAAGATTAACAAGTCAGACTGTTTATCAATCTGTAGACAATTGACAATGAGTTCCTGAGAGGATGGTTGGGATATGAGGCCAAATCAGGGGATATAGAGAATGTTATGGTGATAAGAGGCTAGGTGGTGAAGGATGACTTGGGTATCTTGGTCTTCTTTTTCATTTTCTTTTTTTTTTTTTTTTGAAATGGAATCTTGCTCTGTCACCCAGGCTGGAGTTCAGTGGCGTGATCTCGGCTCACTGCAACCACTGCCTCCCAGGTTCAAGCGATTCTTCTGCCTCAGCCTCCTGAGTAGCTGGGACTACAGGCACGTGCCACCATGCCCGGCTAATTTTTGTATTTTTAGTAGAGATGGGATTTCACCATATTGGCCAGGCTGGTCTTGAATCCCTGACCTCATGATCCACCCGCCTCGGCCTCCCAAAGTGCTGGGATTACAGGCGTGAGCCACCATGCCCGGCCCATCTTGGGCTTCTTGTGGTGACTGATATGAAGGGGATAAAGTGAGTGTTTAGCTCCAGTGTCTTCAAAGTAGATTGTGATGCAAAGCCTGTGAACGTTGAGGGATAGGGAATGGGGAGTGGCATAATTCTCCTAGGCCATAAAGTGATTTCTTATAAGATACCTAGCTAAGGAATAATCTAGGAGAGTAAATTGTTTCAGTTTACCTGAGATTGAATTGTACCAAAAAGCCAAATTATGGCTATCTACTAAATATAGAGCCTGCATGTTTTTAATTGATTTATGATTATAGAGTAGACTAAATTTTTATGTGACATGTAAATGGCTACTGAAAGAATAAATGCTTGAAAGACTGAATAAATATTACAGATTCTCCTTCAGTAAAGTTATGAAAGCCTGATAAATAATTCTAGGCATGATAGTATTTTTCCTAAAAACTTACTCCTTTTCTTGGAGGCTGCTTAAAAATTTTACATTGCCAATTCATTTCTCGACACTTTTTTCTATCTTGATCTTTTTTTTGTGGGCTGCATTCATTTTCATTCAGTGGTTTCTTCGCTGAGTGCTTTTCCCAAAATAAACACCAGTCATATTTAGAATGAAATAATGACCTAGTGTAAGTATTCTGAATACTGTTTCAACTTTTCAACATTTCTGAAAATTCTAGACTGATTTATTTTCCAGAATCCATTTAATTTAGATGTTCAGAGTAGTGCTTCTTCTTAAAACATCAACAGTTTTTGTTTTGTTTTGTGAGACACGGTCTCGCTCTGTTGCGCAGGCTGGAGTGCAGTGGCGTGATCTCAGCTCACTACAACCTTCGCCTCCTGGGTTCAAGCTATTCTCCTGCCTCAGCCTCCCGAGTAGCTAGGATTACAGGCATGTGCCACCAGGCCCAGCTAATTTTTGTATTTTTGGTAAAGATGGGGTTTTGCCATGTTGGCCAGGCTGGTCTCGAACTGCTGACCTCAAGTGATTCCTCCGCCTTGGCCCCACAAAGTGCTGGGATTATAGGCATGAGCTACCATGTCCAGCCAACATCAACATTTGTAGTGATAGAATTTGAGTTGTTTAGATCAAGTTTATGGTGCTTTCTGGGCAAATTCTGAAGGGAGAGACAGTTGGTTTACTATTAGAGTTTACTTGTTTGAGCAAACTCTTTTATTTTGTTAATCAGATTTGTCATATATTTGTAGTGCCAGATTACATTTTTAGTTTTTCTGCAATAAATTGTATTAAATTCAGTTTATTAATAGCCAGGTATATCCTGTATATCTCCATTAGTGAGTCTTTATAGGAGAGTGTAGCTGTTAATCAGTGCTGTCTCTGTGAATTTTCTTGGAGATCTCTCAATGGGATTTGTGGTTTGAGTGTATCACCCTTAGGTTTTTACAAAAGATAATAAGCACTAATGTTAAATGCTACTTAGCAAATGGATGCAAAGCTTTGACAGTAATTTTAGGTTATTTCTAGATAGTGTGGACTTAAAAAAAGTTTTTTAGAAAGCTGTTTTCAGTTGACTTAGAGTTACTTGTAATCTGTTATTATCAAGGTCACCCCATGGAAGATCTCTGAATACCCAATGAGGCAAGTGTCATTATTACCTCTTAATTTTCTCCAGGGGAAACACCAAATTCTGTGGTGGCTTAGGTGAAGGAGTAAGGCTCTTTACTCAGCTTTTGTTTTTAATTGTAACTGTGCAGATGTCTCCTATGTCCTATGGCCAGTTATTTAAAATAGTGAAAGCCAAATGCTAGTTTGGTGGTGTGCAGGCATAACTCAATTATCTGACAAGAGAAAAAGAATGGTTGAGTATATGTTACTTTGGTTGACAATGTTAAAGGTATTTTTTTTTGGTTTTGGGGTACCTTTTTAGTATTTACCTGTAAGGATTGAAATATTAAGTCAGAAAATTCATAATACTTGTGAATTGGTATAATTGTCTAGACTAATGCTTCTTTTACCATTGGCGTAATTGTCTAGATTGATGCTTGTTCTTAAAATTTGGCCACAACTCTACACTCTAAGCTGGGGTGTCCAATCTTTTGGCTTCCCTGGGTCACACTGGAAGAAGAATCGCCTTGGGCCACACATGAAATATACTAACAATAGCTGATGAGCTAAAAAAAAAAAAAAAAAAATCACAGAAAATCTCATAATGTTTAAGAAAGTTTACGAATTTGTGTTGGGCCGCTTTCAAAGCCACCCTGGGCCTCATGCGGCCCGTGGGCCACAGGTTGGACAAGCTTGCTCTAAGCAGTGCATTGGCACATTTATGTGCGTGTGTGTGTATTAATATTGTATTAATATTACAGTTATATATATAAAATAAAAGTTTCATGAAATAGTACTTACTTTTACATTGTACAGTACATTCTAATACTTTTCTAGCTGTTTATAAAATATTCAGTTTTTGAGACAGGGTCTCACTCTGTCGCTCAGGCTAGAGTGTGGTGACGCAACCTCCTGGGCTCAGGTAATCCTCTCACCTCAGCCTCCCAAGTAGCTGGGACTACAGGCGCATGCTACCATGCCCAGTTTAGTGTTTTTTTTTTTTTTTAGAAAAAGTTGGACATGAGCTAAATTGATTTCATAACCCTTACTGAGTCATAACTTGCTTTTTGAAAAATCCTGGCCTACCTTATCTCTGAGGTGCCGCACAACTATGGAGTATGTTACTGTGACAGTGTACATAAAAATAACTTCTTTGATCTGGGTTCTTATGAGAAGGATAAAAATATTGAATATTACTCAAAGCCCACTGACCATAAGAAAGTGATCTCTACCATCAGATAATTTTAAAAATGCATATAGAAGAGTCATATATTTGTATAACTAATCTTTGTTGAGTGGCATCTGTGTGCCACGCTCTGAACTTACCACTGCCTATTTGAAGGTGAACAAACAGGCCGTCCTTATCTCCAGGAATTTCAGTGTAGTGGAAGAGATAATAAGCAAGTGAATAAATATTTGTAAATTGCTGTGCAGCTGTGCTAGAGAATAATGGGAGATGGTTGCTTGCTCACAGTTTTTCATCATCTCATTTGTATCTAGCTTAAAGAAGAAAATGTGAGCTAGAAGCTTAGGTTTTTGGTCTCAGATGTCACATTCTTTCTGTTGAGTAGGGTACCCTTGTTCCCATAAACCTTCTTAGGCAGGGGGCCCAGTGTACTTATTTATTTATTTTTTTTGAGACACAGTCTCACTCTGTCGCCCAGGCTGTAGTGCAGTGGCAAGATCTCGATCTCGGCTCACTGCAACCTCTGTCTCTCAGGTTCAAGCAATTCTCCTGCCTCAGCCTCCTGAATTGCTGAGACTACAGGAGTGCGCTACCGCAGCCGGCTAATTTTTGTATTTTTAGTACAGATGGGGTTTCACCATGTTGGCCAGGCTGGTCTCAAACTCCTGACCTCTGATGAGCCTGCCTCAGCCTCCCAAAGTGTTGGGTTTACAGGCATGAGCCACTGTGCCTGGCCTACGTTTTTTTTAAAAAAAACTTATTATTACAGATAATTATCTTGTGGGCATATTTTCACCTTGTATTACAGATAATTTTCTTTTCAACCTCCAGCTGGTGTTATTTTCAGGTGAAGTCTTCATCTTAGGCTATTATACATACATATGTACATATATTCTAATACAATTTTGTATTTCTTGTCTTTTCACACTAGTGTCCATATTTTCATAGCAGTCATGAAGCAAAATTGAGGTTGTTACAAGTTGCTGTGATTATTACAGAGAAGAGTTTCTTTTTTTAATTTAATTTAATTTTTTTTAATTATACTTTAAGTTCTAGGGTACCTGTGCACAATGTGCAGGTTTGTTGCATATGTATACACGTGCCATGTTGGTTTGCCGCACCCATTAACTCATCATTTACATTAGGTATTTCTCCTAATGCTATCCCTCCCCCAACCCCCCACCCCACTACAGGCCTCAGTGTGTGATGTTCCCCGCCCTGTGCCCAAGAGTTCTCATCGTTCAATTCCCATCTATGAGCAAGAACATGCAGTGTTTGGTTTTCCATCCTTGCTATAGTTTGCTCAGAATGATGGTTTCCAGCTTCATCCATGTCCCTACAAAGGACATGAACTCATCATTTTTTATGGCTGCATAGTATTCCATGGTGTATATGTGACACATTTTCTTAATCCAGTCTATCATTGATGGACATTTGGGTTGGTTCCAAGTCTTTGCTATTGTGAATAGTGCCACAGTAAACATAGGTGTGCATGTGTCTTTATAGTAGTATGATTTATAATTCTTTGGGTATATACCCAGTAATGGGATCACTGGGTCAAATGGTATTTCTAGTTCTAGATCCTTGAGGAATTGCCACACTGTCTTCCACAATGGTTGAACTACTTTACAGTCCCACCCACAATGTAAAAGTGTTCCCATTTCTCCACATCCTCTCCAGCACCCGTTGTTTCCTGACTTTTTAATGATCGCCATTCTAACTGGCATGAGATGGTATCTCATTGTGGTTTTGATTTGCATTTCTCTGATGACCAGTGATGATGAGCATTTTTTCATGTGTCTGTTGGCTGCATAAATGTCTTCTTTTGAAAAGTGTCTGTTCATATCCTTTGCCCACTTTTTGATGGGGTTGTTTGATTTTTTCTTGTAAATTTGTTTGAGTTCTTTGTAGATTCTGGATATTAGCCCTTTGTCAGATGAGTAGATTGCAAAAATTTTCTCCCATTCTGTAGGTTGCCTGTTCACTCTGATGGTAGTTTCTTTTGCTGTGCAGAAGCTCTTCAGTTTAATTAGATCCCATTTTGGCTTTTGTTGCCATTGCTTTTGGTGTTTTAGTCATGAAGTCCTTGCCCATGCTTATGTCCTGAATGGGTATTGCCTAGGTTTTCTTCTAGGGTTTTTATGGTTTTAGGTCTAACATTTAAGTCTTTAATCCATCTTGAATTAATTTTTGTATAAGGTATAAGGAAAGGATCCAGTTTCAGCTTTCTACATATGGCTAGCCAGTTTCCCCAGCAACATTTATTAAATAGGGAATTCCTATTTAATAAATTCCTCATTGCTTGTTTTTGTCAAATTTGTCAAAGATCAGATGGTTGTAGATGTGTGGTGTTATTTCTGAGGGCTCTGTTCTGTTCTATTGGTCTATATCTCTGTTTTTGTACCAGTACCATGCTGTTTTGGTTACTGTAGCCTTGTAGTATAGTTTGAAGTCAGGTAACTTGATGCCTCCAGCATTGTTCTTTTTGCTTAGGATTGTCTTGGCCATTTGGGCTCTTTTTTGGTTCCATATGAACTTTAAAGTAGTTTTTTCCAATTCTGTGAAGAAAGTCATTGGTAGCTTGATGGGGATGGCATTGAATCTATAAATTACCTTGAGCAGTATGGCCATTTTCATGATACTGATTCTTCCTATCCATGAGCATGGAATATTCTTCAATTTGTTTGTGTCATCTTTTATTTCATTGAGCAGTGGTTTGTAGTTCTCCTTGAAGAGGTCGTTCACATCCCTTGTAAGTTGTATTCCTGGGTATTTTATTCTCTTTGTAGCAATTGTGAATGAGGGTACACTCATGATTTGGCTCTCTGTCTGTCTGTTATTGGTGTATAAGAATGCTTGTGATTTTTGCACATTGATTTTGTATCCTGCGACTTTGCTGAAGTTGCTTATCAGCCTAAGGAGATTTTGGGCTGAGATGATGGGATTTTCTAAATATACAATCATGTCATCTGCAAACAGGGACAGTTTGACTTCCTCGTTTCCTAATCGAATACCTTTTATTTCTTTCTCTTGCCTGATTTCCCTGGCCAGAACTTCCAACACTATGTTGAATAGGAGTGGTGAGAGAGGGCATCCCTGTCTTGTGCCAGTTTTCAAAGGGAATGCTTTCAGTTTTTGCCCATTCAGTATGATACTGGCTGTGGGTTTGTCATAAATAGCTCTTATTATTTTGAGATAGGTTCCATCAATACCTAGTTTATTGAGAGTTTTTAGCATGAAGGCCTGTTGAATTTTATCGAAGGCCTTTTTTGCATCTATTGAGATAATCATGTGGTTTTTGTCTTTGGTTCTGTTTACATGCTGGATTACATTTATTGATTTGCGTATGTTGAACCAGCCTTGCATCCCAGGGATGAAGCCCACTTGATCTTAGTGGATAAGCTTTTTGATGTGCTGCTGGATTCGGTTTGCCAATATTTTATTGAGGATTTTTGCATCAATGTTCGTCAGGGATATTGGTCTAAAATTCTCTTTTTTTGCTGTGTCTCTGCCAGGCTTTGGTATCAGGGTGATGTTTGCCTCATAAAATGAGTTAGGGAGAATTCTCTCTTTTTCTATTGATTGGAATAGTTTCAAAAGGAATGGGACCAGCTCCTTTCTGTACCTCTGATAGAATTTGGCTGTGAATCCATCTGGTCTCGGAGTTTTTTTGGTTGGTAGGCTCTTAATTATTGCCTCAATTTCAGAGCCTGTTATTGGTCTATTCAGAGATTCAGCTTCTTCCTTGTTTAGTCTTGGGAGGGTGTATGTGTCCAGGAATTTATCCATTTCTTCCAGATTTCCTAATTTATTTGCATAGAGGTGTTTATAGTATTCTCTGATGGTAGTTTGTATTTCCTTGAGATCGGTGGTGATATCCCCTTTATCATTTTTTATTGCATCTATTTGATTCTTCTCTCTTTCCTTCTTTATTAGTCTTGGTAGTGGTCTATCAATTTTGTTGATCTTTTCAAAAAAGCAGCTCCTGGATTCATTGATTTTTTTGAAGGGTTTTTTGTGTCTCTATCTCCTTCAGTTCTTTTCTGATCTTAGTTATTTCTTGCCTTCTGCTAACTTTTGAATTTGTTTGCTCTTGCTTCTCTAGTTCTTTTAATTGTGATGTTAGGGTGTCAATTTTTGATCTTTCCTGCTTTCTCTTGTGGGCATTTAGTGCTGTAAATTTCCTTCTACGCACTGTTTTAAATATGTCCCAGAAATTCTGGTATGTTGTGTCTTCGTTCTCATTGGTTTCAAAGTACATCTTTATTTCTGCCTTCATTTTGTTATTTACCCAGTCGTCATTCAGGAGCAGATTGTTCAGTTTCCATGTAGTTGTGCAGTTTTGAGTGAGTTTCTTAACCCTGAGTTCTAGTTTGATTGCACTGTGGTCTGAGAGACAGTTTATTATTTCTGTTCTTTTACATTTGCTGAGGAGTGCTTTACTATGTGGTCAATTTTGGAATAAGTGCAATGTGATGCTGAGAATAATGTATATTTTGTTGATTTGGGGTGGAGAGTTCTGTAGATGTCTATTAGGTCTGCTTGGTGCAGAGCTGAGTTCAAGTCCTGGATATCCTTGTTAACCTTCCGTCTCGTTGATCTGTCTAATATTCACAGTGGGGTATTAAAGTCTCCCATTATTATTGTGTGGGAGTGTAAGTCTCTTTTTAGATCTCTCAGGACTTACCTTATGAATCTGGGTGCTCCTGTATTGGATGCATATATATTTAGGATACTTAGCTCTTCTTGTTGAATTGATCCCTTTACCATTATGTGATGGACTTCTTTGTTTCTTTTGATCTTTGTTGGTTTAAAATCTGTTTTATCAGAGACTGGGATTGCAACTCCTGCTTTTATTTTTTTTTGCTTTCCATTTGCTTGGTACATCTTCCTCCGTCCCTTTATTTTGAGCCTGTGTGTGTCTCTGCACGTGAGATAGGTCTTAGAGGAGAGTTTCTTATGATTGAGGGCACTTGCCCCAATTCTTCTCTATTACTCTATAAAAAAATGGAATCATAAAATTTTCTTTCAGATTGTTAAATATTCTTCAACTTAATTTTAATAGCTAATGGCAATTGCCATGTATGGATGGATATGAGAAAGTTTTCAGAAAAATGAGATATTTATCTTGAGGAAGATTTGGCTGTTGGGAGGAGGAGACATAATAGCTTTTTTCAGATATTCAGTGTAAGTGAGTTTGCACAAGTTTTAAAATCTTTGGAAGCTAACTTGATATCAGCAAGCAAAAAATATAATGGAGAAAATTTTGATGGTTGGGGAAAGTTTGTAGCACTGGTTTTGGTGAATAATATGTTAGGTAGGTTCTTTCAAGGTTGTGTTATACTTTTACCACTACCATTATTTTCTTTTTAGTTAAACTTGCATTTCCATTGCTCAAATTCTAGAAGAACCTGTTCTGTTGTCTCTTCCTTTTCCAATATTCTTGTCCACTTGACTTCATGCTCTCTTATAATAAAATTATTAAAATTATTGTTACATGGATTAAAATATTGACATTCAGAAATAGATTCATGCTTCTCTGCAACATGGATGAACCTGGAGGACATTATACTAAGTGAACTAAGTCAGGCACAGAAAGATAAATACTGTGTTCTCACTCATATATAGGAGCTAAAACATGAGCGGATAGAGGTAGAGAGTAGAATTGTGGTTATTAGAGGCTAGGAGAGGTTGGTTAACAGATACAAAATTATAGCTAGAAGAGAGGAATAAATTCCAGTGTTGTACAGCAATGTAGGATGATTATGGGTAACAGTAATTTAGTGTATATTTTCAAAAAGCTAGAAGATTTTGAATGTTCACAGCACAAAATGATAAATGTTTGAGGTGCTGCATATCTTAATTATCCAGATTTAATCATTATACACTGGATACACAGGCATTGAAATAGCACACTGTATTCCATGAATATGTACAATTATTATGTGTCAATTAAAAAGAAAAGGGAAAAAGAAATAGATTTATGATTTTGACTTTTGAATAGACTATATACTTTTAAAAAGCTGCTGCTGCTTCTAGTTTTAGGTAACTTTGTTTTGTCTTTTTTATTATAAGATTGGCTTATGCCAGATCTTTAATGTTGTAAAAGTATCCATTGCTCACCAGCCATATAGGAGCTGGCCAGTAGGGTTTGGGCAGCAGCCTTTGGTGTGGAGCTGTTCTCTTGTCGGGGTATGGATTGGGCCACTTTTCTCTTATAATTGATAACATGAACTATCCAGTTCCTTGGTGATCTCAAAGTAAGAGACCAGTGAAGTTTAGGAATAAAAATAAAATGTTTGCAAATGGTCAGAAATTGATAAAATATCAACCAGAGGAGAACATTGTGTGGTTGACAAAGTAGGGAATATTTGTCGTTTTCAAACCTTTTTCTCTTTTAAACCTAGCTTTGGCTGTGGCTCTGCTGTTTATGTCACATAAAGTAATTCATTCTGTTGTGTCCTATTCAGCAGATAAGCAGCGTCTCAAAATTTATTTAAAAGAAAAAATTGTAAATTTAGTGAAACTGCAAATATGGTTGAAGATTTAGAAATTAAATCCTATTAAGAAAACAGTATCTTAACTATATAGATAAAGTAATACTCCTTTTGCATCAAGTGTGATAGTAGGAGAGGAGGTATTTCTTCCAGTAAAAATCAAGATGTATTCGTATCCTTTGAGCTAGTAAGCCTACTTCTCATAGTGTATTCTATGTAAATAATTCAAAAGGATGAAAGTTCTCTGTAGCGTTATTTAAACTAGTGAACAGTCACATACCCTTACCCTAAAAGTGACACATTTTAGGTATCTTCCCTGAATGCTATTTTATGCAACCATTGAAAGGGATATTTATGAAATTATTTATAGTGGTATGGGACATGTAAAAATGTTTTATAAAATGCAATTTGTACACTATTATGTATGAGCCATTTTTTAACTTTAAAAAGATGTTCTCTTCTTTTGAAAACATGTTTAGAATAGTTGTTAGCTTATTTGCTAACTTACTATTATTGTTTTTTCTCAATTCCTCCTTATCTTATTACATACATTTGAGATGTTATTCAGATTTCCAGCTTTATTCTCTTTGTAAAATATTAACTGTCATTTGAAGTACAGTTCTTGTCATGTTTTGCATTGTAAGTCACTTAATATTCTAACTTAAAGGTGATAAAACACATCCTACTGTGTATAAGTTTTATTTATTTGATTAAAAAAATAGTTAACACAGTAAATACTTGGAATTGGATCAGAGGTTCATTACCCTGGACACTTGTGGGCTAAAGGCCTAGGAATTTTTCATCTGTTTCCAGATGGGAAACTCTGCCTGCTGATGTTTGGTCTTTATTACAATTAAAATACCAGAAAATTTTGTTAGAAGGAGATATTGGGAATATGAAGACATAACCCAAATATGTGTATATTACAATTCTGGAGGAAATACCTCAGTTAAAACAAAACAAAAATCAAGAATATTAAAAGTCTTTTATAATTTGACAATAGATCCTCCATATCTTCTCATATTCTGGTGCTTATTTTACATATTTGTAACTTAAGTATTTAAGAAGAGACCTTTCCAATTTATTAAAAATTATTGGATAAGACACCAGCTCAACAGTTTAGTAAGTTTTTTTTGTTTTAGTAATGTTTCCAAGTGGTGACACTGTGTGTATTTAAGTAATTAGTGAATTGGAGGGATGAGCCAATTTCCAGCAGATCTGATTAGATCTGAAAACTAGGCTAAATAATTCCTAGTGAGTATAGAAACAGAATTTGAGTGTCTGAATTATGTAGGTATTTACTTCTGTTACATTTTCTTAACCTTTATTGAAAACAGTGGAAAAGTGAAATGAGAAACGTCTACTTTCTAAAAAAATGAAAATAAGAAGTTATGAGTCAAAATATATGTTGAGAGTAAACCATTCTGTAGGTGTAAAGTAGGCAGAGTTTCAGCTTTAGAATAGATGTAATACAAATACATATACATATACTTATACTGTTTCATATCCTAACATCCTGGATTGATAACCTGCCTCCCACCCCATAATTTAGCCTGATTTTTTTTTTCAGTCCTTAGCTGTTCAGGAGTTTTAAAATTTGCATTAAATCTTTTAGGTTATTTTACTCCCATGTAAAACTACTGATTAAATTTGGTGAACCCTTTGACTTTACAACAGAAAACAATCAAAATAGTTAACTCTAAAACAATGGTTATCACAGTTTTGAGGACTCTTTTAGTCCAGTAGCTTTCAGATTTTAGCTTGCATCAGAATTACCTGGAAGTTTGGTTAGAAAAGTAGGTCTAAATGTAGCCTGAGAATGTGCATTTCTAACAAGTTTCCAGGTGATGTTAATGAGGCTGGTTTTAGAACCATATGTGAAAAAAAACCCCACTGACTTAGGGTTTCAAAGAGATGTAAAATTAACACTCTTATCTAGATACAAATAATGAGTTATCTAAGTATTGAACACATTTTGAAGATTTTATTTAAGTCATTAATGATGGAACTAGTCAGATATTATAAACAGTTCAAAGAAGCACAAATTTATGTGGAGTAAAGGATATTGAACTAAATTTCCAAGTGGTCAGCAAACTGACTTTCTATTGGGGGTAGTCAGTTGAACCTCCATGGGACAGAATTTTCTTGCATGTCTCCAGACTAGAATAATTTACATTGCTCTCAGTTATCTACAGCAGTTAATCAACAATTTGAGTTGCAGTATAGCTCGAAGTCAATGAAAAGCTAGAATTAGAAAACGTGGAAGGTTTTGTACCACAAAGTCCATATTTTTTCATCTTGAGTGCACTGTCATCTTTTTTCTCATTCCCAATTTCCTTACAGTGGCTTTTTACCAAACTCCTCAGGTGATTCTGATGCAGTCTGAAGTTTGAGAACCATCGGCTTAATGTAACAGACAAAATATTTAGTATATTTGTAATACTTATTTACTAAATCATGTTTTCTTATACAACTTATTTCTTATACAGATTATTTCATACGTAGCCAGTTCATTATTTGAAAAATCAAGGTCAGATTGCCCCTGTTAGCTGATATTTTAACCTCTTGATTGCCTATAAAGGAATTAAATATGCATTTATATAATAAAGTAGTTGTGAAGTTTTTGAACATAATTAGAAAAAAGACTCTTTGTTGATCGAGTATAAAATGTGCTTCATGAAGCGTTTGATTAGTTAAAATATGAAAAATTTTAGTTGAAGAGCTTTTAATAGGGCTTATCTTTAGTCAGTCATTTTATACATAATAAAATGCCTCTCACAATTCTGAAAGGACCTAGCGAATTTAAGAAGCTGGGTGATGTAATATAAAGAGCCCTGGATTTAGGAGGTCAGTCTTAGTTTATTCCCTTTTTGTAGCTAGTAAGTTATTTAATTTGTAATTCACAATGGTGGTGAGGGCATAAAGATAAATGCATCACAGCTCTTGTGATGACATAAGTGCTTGCTTTCTGGATTTCAGTTTTCTCATGTGCAAAATAAGGATTATAGAGCCAAATGAGACCCAAGGTTGTCTTAAGCACTAACATTATGTGATACTTTGAATATTGCACAGTGGAAAACATTAAACAAGTGTGTGCTAAATCGGAGTTGTTCACCATTTCTCTCTCATTTTTCTTTTTTTTAACTTTTAAAACTGACACGTAATAATTGTGTATATTTATTGAGTACATAATGATGTTGCATATCAGGGTAATTAGCATATCCATCACCTCAAATATTTATCATTTCTTTGTGTTGGGAATGTTTAATATCCTCTTTCTAGCTATATGAAACTATGTATTATTGTTAAATGTATTCATTTTACAATACTATAGAACACTAGAATTTACTCTTCTTATCTAGCTGTAATTTTGTATTCTTTAACAAATCTCTCCCTTTCCCTTCCTTGTGCTTCCCCTTCTTAGCATCTAGTATTTTCTGTTCTACTTTACTTCTATGAGATCAACATTTTTTTAGCTTCCTCATATGAATGAGACATGTGGTGTTTAACTTTCTGTTTTTGGCTTATTTTACTTAACATAATGTCCGCCAGTTCCATCCTTGTTATTGCAAATTACAGGATTTCCTTCTTTTTTATGGCTGAATAGTACTCCATTGTGTATAAATACACCACATTTTCTTTATCTCTGTTGTCGGACACCTGATTTAATTTCATATCTTGGCTATTGTGAATAGTGCTGTAGTAAGTAAGTATAGGGTTGCAGGTGTCTCTGCAATATACTGATTTCTTTTCCTTTGGAAAAATGCCCCAGCAATGGTAGTTCTATTTGTAGTTTTTTGAGAAACTTCCATACTGTTCTTCATAGTGGCTGTACTAGTTTCCATTCCCACCAATAGTGTATGAGTTCCCTTATCTCCCCATTCTTGCTAGCATTTGCTATGTCTTGTCTTTTTGATAATAGCCATTTTAGAATGAGATAATACCTAATTGTTTTGATTTGTAATTCCCTGATGATTAGTGATGTTGAGCATTTTTTCCTAAATTGGTTGGCAATTTGTTTGTCTTTTTTAGGGAAATGTCTGTTCAGACCATTTGCCCATTTTTAAATTGGATCACTTGCCTTTTTGTTTGTTTTTCTGTTTGAGTTTCTTGTATATTCTGGATATTAATCTCCTGTCAGATGAATAGTTTGAAAATATTTTTTCTTATTCAACATGTTATCTCTTCACTCTGTTGATTGTTTCCTTTACTGTGCTGAGGCTTTTTAGTTTAATATAGTCCCATTTGTTTGTGTTTGTTGCCTATGCTTTTGGGAGTCTGATTGGTAATAGTTCTTCTTTTCTTAATCTTTATTTTTTCTTTCCTTTTTATTTTCACCACTCTTTATATTTTTTTAGTTTTTAAATTTTTGAGACAGAGTCTCGCTCTGTCACCCAGGGCTGGAGTGCAGTGGCGTGGTCATGGCTCACCGCAGCCTTGACTTTCTGGGCTCCAGTGATCCTCCCACTTCAGCCTTCCGAGTAGCTGGGAACACAGGTTCACACCAAGACACCCAGCTAACTTCTGTACTTTTGGCAGAGATGAGGTTTCGCCATGTTGCCCCTGCTGTTCTTGAACTCCTGAGCTCAAACGATCCACCCGCCTTGGCCTTCCAAAGTGTTGGGATTACAGGCGTGGGCCAGTGCACCCGGCCTGTTGTCACCACTCTTATTCAAAGTTTCTCCTTTTAAAATTGCTTTATTGAGGTATAGTTGACATCCAATGTACTGCACGTATTTAAAGTATACTATTTGGTAAGTTTAAACATAATGTATACCCTATGTGATCATCATAGCAATGAGGAAAATGAATGTCACACCCCAAAGTTTTCTTTGAGTCCTTCTATAATCTTCCCTTCCCCCACTTCAGACAACTACTGATACGCTTCCTGTCATAATAGACTAGTTTGCATTTTCTAGGATTGTATATAAATGGAAGTACAGAGTATGTACTCTTTTTTAAATCCAGCCTTTTTGTTCAGCATAATTGTCCATGTTGTGCAAGTATCAATACTTTCTAACTTCTTGTTGCTAGCTAGGATTCTTTTTTTTATGGCTGTGCCACAATTCATTTGTTTGTTCGCCTGATGACAGATGTGGGAATTGTTTTCAGTTTTGGGTATTACAAATAGAGCTGCTATGAACAGATGTATACAAATTTTAATATAAACATGCACTTTTCTTTTGGGTAATCACCTAGGAGTGGATCGTATTGTAGGTGTATGTTTACTTTTAAAGAAACTGCCAAACTGTTTTTCAAAGTGATTGTACCATTTTTATATTCCCACTAATAGTATGTGAACATTCAATTTCCTTTACATCCATGCCAGCACTTGGGCTGGGCAGTCTTTTTAAATTTTAGCCATTGTAATAGATATGTAGTAGAATGTTACTGTGGTTTCAATTTAGATTTCTCTAATGGCTAATGATTTTGCATCTTTTTATTGCCTTTTTTTGCAATCATATGTGTATCTTATTTTGTGAAAAATTTGCTTAAATATTTTCTGATTTTTTAAAAATTAAGTTGTTTTCTTACTGTTTTAAGAGTTATTTATTCTGAATATAAGTAATATATTTATTCTGAATATTTTGTTGAAGTCCGCTTTAGCAAGTTTTTCTTTCATGGATCATCTTTTGGTGTCATATCTAAGAAATCTTTGGTTAATCCAAGGTCACAAATATATTCTACTTTTTCTTCTAGATTTTTGTAGTTTTAGTTTTACTTTTAAGTATATGATGTATTTTGAGTTAATTTTATGTATGTTGAGAGGTATGGATTAGTATGTGTATGGTTTTTTTTTTCTTTTTTGCATCTGGATATCCAGTTGTTCCTGTACCTTTTTTCAAAAAGACCATCCTTTTTCTACAGAATTGCTTCTGTCAAAAATCAGTTTTTTATATATGTGTGGGTGCTCTATTTTATGTATTTTATATATTTCTGGGTTCTCTATTCTGTTCCATTGATCTATTTGTCTTGTGTTGATGCCAGTACCACATTCTGTTATGGTAGCTTAATAATAATCCTTAAAAGCAGGAACAGTTAGCCTTTGAACTGTGTTCTTTTCCAGTTGTTTGGCTCCTCTAAGTATTTTCTTTTGTCTATGAATTTTAGAATTAGCTTGTCAATTTATACAAAAGAGCCTGCTGGTATTTTGATTTGTATTGTTTGGAATCTGTGAATCAATTTGGGGAGAATTGGCATCTTAGCAATATGGAGTTTTTGTGAACAAGCTGTAGCTCTATTTGTATAGGTCTCTTTAATTTCTCTCAGCAGTGCTTTCTAGTTTCTAGTGTACATATCTTACACACTTTTTTTTTGCTGGGTTTATTCCTAAATATTTCCTATTTTTGCTGCTAAGGTAGATGGCAATTTTTAAAATTTCAATTTTCGGTGCTAGTATCTAGAAATGCAGTGGGTTTTAAAAATACTTTTATTTTATATCTTTTAATCTTACTGGACTCTATTAGTAGAAGTAGCTTGGAAATTTTGTCAGATTTTTTACCCAGACTGCCATGTTGTCTGTGAATAAAGATACTTTTACATCTTCCTTTTCTCTTTGCTCGAGTTACTGAACTGGCTAAAGCCTCCAGCTGAATGTTGGATAAAAATGGTGAAGCAGACATCTTTGTCATATTCCTGATTGTAGGGATGTAGGGGAGGAAAAGAAATATCTTTTCCTTGCCCATTACAAGGTTTATGGCTGACATCCTATAACAAAAGACAGACTGACAAGAGAGAAGCCTAACAAATTTATTTAACCGAAGTTTTATCTGACACAAGAGCCCTCAGAAATGAAGACTTAAAGACCCAGGGAAAACTGTGTATTTTTTTTTTCATAGGTGCGATGAACAAATAAATAGTCATGTAGAAGTATGATTGGACTGAAAAGATATAATCTATTGGGATCATAGAGGAAACTTAGAAAGGCCTGTTTGTTCAGATTCTTCTGTGTCTTCATTCCTTCCCGCTGGGTATAGGGCAGGACACCAGTCACATAGGGTCTTCAGGGGAGAAGGTGGGGAGAATTCTTTTTATGGACCCAGGAAGAAAGGGCGGGAGAAGATCAGAGTGATCTTTGTGTTCATGCCAAGATGCCGTATTTTGGGATATAATGTCCTGAGCCCTGAAAAGGAAAACACTGAGTCTTTCACCATTAAGTAAGATGTTAGCTGGATTTTTAAAAAATGTACTTTTTATCAAATTGATGAAGTTCCTTTCTATTCTTTGTTAAATAGAGAGTTTTTATTAGGAATAATGTTAGATTTTTAAGTTATTAATTTGGTTAATTACATTAATTTTTTAAAAAACTAATTGCTGGGCGGGTGTGGTGGCTCATGCCTGTAATTCCAGCACTTTGGGAGGCTGAGGCAGACGGATCACGAGGTCAAGAGATTGAGACCATCCTGGCCAACATGGTGAAACCCCGTCTTTACTAAAAATACAAAAATTAGCTGGGCATGGTGGTGTGCACCTGTAGTCCCAGCTACTTGGGAGGCTGAGGCAGGAGAATCACTTGAACCTGGGAGGCGGAGGTTGCAGAGTTGACATCGCGCCACCACACTCTAGCCTGGTGACCAAACGAGACTCCGTCTCAAAAAAAAAAAACACAAAAAACCCACAAAACCCAAATTGCTTTTTCAAGGTAAGCCAAATTTGCATTTTTGGGATAAAACTCACATGGTCATAATATATTATCCTTTCAACATACTGTTTAATGCAGTTTGCTAATGTAGTGATGAATTCTTCCAGCTTTTATGTATCTGAAAAAAAGTATTTTTCTTGCCTTTATTTTTGAAGATATTTTTACTGATTATACAATTCTAAGTTGATATTTTTTTTCATTACTTTAAAGAAGTTGCTGCATTATCTTCTTGCTGTCATTGTTTTTCAAGAGAAATGGCCTCTCATCCTCATCTTTGGCTGCTCTTAAGAGTTTCCTTTTATTGCTGATTTTGAGTAATTTGGTTATGATATGCCTTGGTGCCTTTTTCTCCATGTTTCTCATGCTTGGGTTTTGTTGAGCTTCTTGGATCTATGGGTTTAGAGTTTTTATAAAACTTGGAAAAATTTGGCCATTTTTTCCCCCCAATGTTTTCTTTCCCTTCTTTTTCTTTTCCTTAGGGGACTCAAATCACACATATGTTAGGTTGCTTGAAGTTGTCCCATATTTTACTTGATGCTCTTTTAATTTTTTTATTATAAATTTTTTTTTCCTGTGTGTCTCATTTTGGATAGTTTCCATTATGTCTTAAATTTACTACACTTTTCTTCTGCAATTTCTGTACTCTACTGTTAATCTTATTCAGCATATTTTTTATCTTAGACATTATAATTTTCACATCTAGAAGCTTGAGTCTTCTTTAGTATCTCCCATACCTCTACTTAATTTTTGACTCTATGATACAGTTATAATGATGGTTTTATGTCCATATTTACCATTTCTAAAATTTGTGCCCATTGTGTCCATTCTATATTGATTTCAATGAATTGATTTTTCTCAGCATTATTGTTCAAACTTTCTTGCTTCTTTACATTTCTGAGACTCTGTGATTGGATACCATTCTGAAAATTACCTTATTGAGTACTAGATATTTTTGTATTTCTATAAATATTCTTGAGTTTTTTTCTGGGATGCACTTAAGTTATATAGAAATAATTTTATCCTTTTGGATCTTGCTTTAAAAAGTTTTGAACAGTACAAGAACAGCATCTGGTCCATGGCTCATAATTATTTCACTAGTGAGACAAAGTCCTTCTGAATACCCAGTCTATTTCTCCATAAATTACAATGTTTTCCAGTCTGGTAGAAGGACTGGATATATCTTGGGGAAAAAAATGTACCTTGACCTCTAACTTATGCTATACAAAAGTTAATATGTGATGAATTGTAGACCTAAATAGATAGCTGAAACTTTAACATCTCTAGGAAAAAAACAGAATAACATTTTCATGTCCTGAAGATAAGAAATGATTTATTATACAGAACATAGAAAATATGCATAAAAGACGTTGATAAATTGAACATGATAAAAATTAAAAGCTTTTTATAAAAAGTCACTGTTAATAAATGGATAAGAAAACTAGATACTGGGAGAAAATATTTGTCATGTATGTATCTGACAAAAAAAGTCCTCTTTAGACTTTTTAAAGAACTCCTACAGATGAGTTAAGATTTTCTCTTTTTTGCTGGTTTTTACTAATGTGATACTGATGTGGCTTTGGTGTGGTTTTCATTATGCATATCTTACTTGAGCATCTGTGAGTTATTGTTTTCATAAAAATTTGGGAAATTATTGGCCACTGTTTCCTCAAATTCCTTTTGTGACCTTCTCTTATTCTTGGATTCAAAGTACACATATGTCACTTGTTTACTATTATAGGCTACTTAGGCTCTATTAATTTTTTGCAGTCCATTTTTTCTCACTCTTCCATTTTTGTTAGTTTGTATTGCAGTGTGTTAAAATTTACTGTAATTTTCATTTTTCAGTTCAGATACTCTGTGTTTTTTTTTTTTTTTTTTTGAGATGGAGTTTTTGCTCTTGTTGCCCAGGCTGGAGTGCAATGGCACAATTGCAGCTCACTGCAACCTCCACCTCCCAGGTTCAAGCAATTCCCCTGCCCCAGCCGCCCAAGTAGCTGGGATTACAGGCATGTGCTACCACGCCCGGCTAATTTTTTGTATTTGGTAGAGACACGGGGTTTCACCATGTTGGTCAGGCTGGTCTCAAACTCCTGACCTCAGGCGATCCACCTGCCTCGGCCTCCCAAAGTGTTGGGATTACAGGCGTGAGCCACCACACCTGGCCAGATACTCTGTATGTTTTTGGTCTCTAAAAGTTCCATTTTCTTTTATATATCTTCCATTTTTTAAATCATATTCATATTTTGTTGTAAATATTTGAGCCTATTTATATTAATTATTTTAACATTTCCATGGTCTACTAAGTTTATTATTTCTTAGATTTTTGGGTCTGTTCTAGTCTCTTTTTTTCACCCATTTATGAATCACATTTTAAAATTCATATCTGAAATTTTTTATTGGATGTTGGATATTATGACTATTATACTATTGTCTAGATTTTATTATCTTCTTTTAAATTTTTTGAAATTTGTTTTGAGTGCTGTCAAAGCTACTGTGGTTTAGCTTCATTTTTTGAGGCTTTTATCAAAACTTCGTTATAGTGGGTCTGGTGACACCCCTGTGGAGGCAGGGTAGCTCTCCTACTAAGATGTAACACTCTGCTCAGTGTTTAGGGTGTTTGAGTCTCTCTATTCATGTCTGTCAGAACTCAAGCATCTTGCAGCCCAGTGAGACCACTGGGAATTATTTAGCTTGCAGCTCCCCAGTAATAGGTCACCCAGTCTCATAGAATTTTCTCCTCTGTGTATATGTGTAACTTAGTAGTTAGCTATTGGCGTAAGGGGCCTCTGTGAAGATTTCTGGAGTTTTTCTCTGCCAAGCTCTGAGCTCACTAGTACTCAGCCCTACAAACTCTGGCCTCTTCAGTCTCCCTAGAGTCTTATTTTTAACTCCTCAACCGAGTGAGACTGCTGTGATCTACTTGGGATTCCTAGCCTGCACTGTTATGGAAAGGGTCTTATGGAAAAGGGATTTACTCAGTTTTTTTCCTTCACTCATGGATCATAATTCTGGGCTGCCTGTTGTCTCAATGTTTGAAAAAAAATTTTTTTTCCTCAGTTTTCTAGTAGCTTACAGTAAGAAGGTATGGACAATTTTACTTATTCCATCATGGCAGAAGTGGAACAGTTTCTGTTTTTAATAGAAGAATTTATTTTAATTGTGACTTTGAATAAATATAACCTGAGGTTGTTTATTTTTCTTGTTTAGTGAGTAGCTCTTCACAGAATTAGAGCCCTCCCTCCTTTTTTAAAAAATGAAATTCTACACAGGACCCCAATATAGAAAATAGTTAAAACTTCATCTGCTCTCATTTAAATTAGGTTTATAGCTCTGTTGGTCTCTACCTAACACCAAAGCAATCTGGTACTCCCAAAAATAAAATTTGAAAACCTGTGAACTATTTACCCCTCTCATTTTACAGGAGGAAACTAACTTCTAGAAGGGTCAAATGTTTTGTCTTAAAGTAATGAATCTTAAACTGTCTGGCTTATATGAGTTTTTCTAGCATTTGAAATAAGACCTCTTATATCCTAACTCAGTGTCTGATTTTTCTTAGTCAGCTTGATTTTTTTTAAAAGGTCTCTTTGATTTTGAGCTGTTTCAGCATGAGATTCTTGAGAACTCCATTTCCTATTAATCTTTGTATGGCGCATTGAGTCCACATGGGCTCTGTTGTAACTTCTAGCTGTTTAAACAATCTTGGAATAGTTTATATTAAATCCAGTCCAACATTTGGTTTATTCTGTTTTCTCACACTTCAGTATATAAGATTTCTGCTTATCCGTTTTACAAAAACTGTATGAAGATGGCTACATACTTCTTGGTGTTTTTTTGTTTGTTTTTGAGACAGAATCTTACTCTGTCACCCAGGTTGGGGTACAGTAGTGTAACCATGGCTCACTGCATCCTTGACCTTGGGGCTCAAGTGGTCCTTCCATCTCAGCCTCCCAAGTAGCAGGGACTACAGATATAAGCCACTATGCCTGGCAAATGTTTGGTAGAGACAGGGTCTCACCATGCTGCCAGGCTGATCTTGAACCCCTGGGCTCAAGTGATTCTCCCCGCTTGGCTTCCCAAAGTCCTGTGATTACAGGTGTGAGCCACTGCCATCCATCTTGTTTTATTCCTTATTCCTCTTCAATTGTTGTGTTTATGTCATTTAATCTCCTAGAAACTATTTGGACTATATTGTGATGAATGATGTACTTTGAACTCTAAGTAGTAGATCATGGATTGTGACTTTGAATTGTTGGGGAAGTTTCATATTGAAGGAAGCAGGGAATGTCAACAGCTTTCACTGTGTTACTTGGCAGAAATCTTCTTTATGGGCAGTCTGCAGTCTGAATCTAAGAGCTACAGTTTAATTCTTCCTGAAAGCTGTCCTGTGTTCAGTCACTGCTTCATCAGTATGGCCTATGGTATAGAAATGGGACAGCCACTCTAGATGGATGAGAGGTGGACAGGCAGGATAGATACAGCACTAGGTTCATCTCTTCAGTCTACTGGTTATAGCTAGACTTTAATATTGAAGAATTATGTTGCTGCTATTCTATTATTTCATTTTCTTCTTACTTAAAAAAGAAAATCAACAGAAAACACCAAATAATTTAGTTATACATATGTCCTCAGATAGTCTTAGAAAGGTTTCCTTTGAAATGCATCTGTAGTGGCTACTAGGGACTCAATGAATATTCATCCAATGAACAGATGAACTAAGCCCAATAAAATCAACAAAACATCTCCTAAGAAATTGTTGATCGTGTGCAACTGTTTGAGTTGCATTACTTTTTAGCACAAGAAGAATAGCATCACTACCAAAACCAGCTGAGATATCTTATTTTATTTATTTATTTATTTATTTATTTATTTATTTATTTATTTAGATAGAGTCTCACTCTGTTGCCCAGGCTGGAGTGCAGTGGCATGATCTTAGCTCTTGGCAACCTCGGACTGCCGGGTTCAAGCGATTCTTGTGCCTCAGCCTTCTGAGTAGATGGGATTACAGGTGCCTGCCACCACGCCAGGCTAATTTTTTGTATTTTTAGTAGAGATAGGGTTTCACCATGTTGACTGGGCTGGTCTTAAAATCCTGACCTCAACTGATCTGCTCGCCTTGGCCTCCCAAAGTTCTGGGATTACAGGCATGAGCCACCGCGCCCAGCCAAGATACCTTATTTAAATTAAGATTCATCATGCAGTTCTGATGTAGTTCTTTTGTAAGTAGTGCGGCAAAATTTTTCATACCCATCATTGTGTCCTAAACACTCAAAATAATGCTTCATACATGATATAGGTGTTCAGGAAGTGTTTGTAGAATGAGAAAATAAATCTGTTCTATTGCATTGCAGTGTGTGCACATGACAGGCCTAACAGATCTCAAGAAAACTGTTCTTTCATGGCTGTTGATTTCATGTAGATTTTTGCATGTACACTTCACATACACATATGTTTACATCTCTATGATGTATATTAGTAGCCATTTCCTTTCTAACATTGGTACTTAGTAGTTTGATTTTTTTTTAAACAAATCTTATTTTATGTAGTAATTGATGCTTTTTCATGTACTCTTACTATAGCCTACATAATTTGAGTTCTTTTTCCTTTATTTTTTTCCTTTTTCCAGGTGAAAATTTCCTACCTATTGGAAATATAATTTGTAGTTTTTGACTGATTTATCTTATATTGATAAAAGATAGGGCATTTAGGAAGAATTTTTATGCATATTATTTTGTTTTCTCCCTCAACTTCTTTGTAAGGTAGGTGAACAGATGAGGTAAATGATGCAGATAGGCTAATCGTCTCTCTCCAAGTCACACAGTTAAGTTGCAGGGTTAGGATTCCAGGGTCATTGTTCCTTTTGCTGATTCTACACTATCTCTGAATATTCTCTTTCAAAAAAGGATACATAATCTATTTGCTTTAGTTAACGCAGAATTGACTTGCAATTTTGGTTAAAGAGAATGAAAAGGAAATCACTGTATTTAGTGGGAAAATGTCATTTCAAAGGTTGATTCTGATCTTTAAAAATTGTAATTGTAATTATCTTGTGTAGAGCCCTGTGTCTTAACATCCTCATTTAATAATTTGTTTGTCATATAAGCAGATGGTGAGAAAACAGTGATTCCCAGATCTGTCATTACTGCTGTGGTAATTTGATGTTTTATAGTTAAGAATTTTGACTGGTAGAAGGCTGATCTAGAATTCACATGTCTCTGGGGACCTGTATTGTTTGGATTTGGAGGTATACTTGTATTTGAATTCAGGGAAGGCTGTTATAAATAAGGACTTGGCTTGCATGATAAGTAACATTTCTTTATATAGCTATTCAGTTGAGCTATTGAAAGTAAAACATACAAACAAACAAACAACAATAGCAAAAAACGCTTTGTGTTGTTGTTGACAGAAAAGTTGAAGCTTTTCAATGGTGTTTTCCTCTCTCATGTCGCATAACCATGATGGTGATAAGCGTACAATTATATATAAAGGCAAAAAAGTTCAAAGTCCAGAGGTATTAAATCTTTATGGTAAATGAGAGCCTGTAAGTCATGTAATACACTAAGAAGTATGTTCTGAAAATCTTAAGAGATCCAATTGCCATGTGACTCTCACAATGTTATCCTTTATGAGGAGAATAAAAGGATGCTTAGTGTGACTTTTGCAACATCAAGCCCAGTTGAAACACAAATTTTATTTTGATTTGTGAGTCCAATCCAACCAGTTATTTTTCATTTTCCATTTACCATCATTTTGATTAGTATTTTTTGTTAATCAGTTCAGAGTTACTATTTGCAGCCCTCTGAAAGCTGGAGCCTACATTAGAAGTTTTCTAAATGTATTGAAGACAAAGCCATTTATTAAAATCTGATATTAAACTGTCACTTTCCAGAGGCATATTTGAAAAACAGAAAAACAAACAAACAAAAAAAACACAAGGGAAACCATAGAGCTCTTCCTGAGATGCTTTAATTCAGGAGTTTCTACTCAAAAAGTTAATCACTGACAAAATTCTTTGAAATGTTTTAGTGTTCGTGTGAGTGTCACAAGCCATGCTTTTTAGAAACCAGAATTTTGTAATAAGTGCTCTCTCTGCAGCAATTAAAAAGTGGCGTCATCTATGGTAAACACTAAGTTGGTCTATTGAGAGGGAAATAGCTAGCCCTTCAAAATACCTTTGTGGGAGTGAAAATTACCTTTCGTACTGAAACTTACTAACCCCCAGTGATTAAGAGGCCATTTCATGTTCAAAAACATGTTATTAAAAATAATGAGTGTGATATTTTAAGTACATGACTATTACTACAAAAATTGTAATATTATAGATTAGGATTTATTCATACACTGAAGGTCTCATATGTTGATATGAACTATATTTCATTTAAGAAGGCCTTGGGAGGAGGAGTCAGGATCATGAACAATCTGAGAGTTTATCCAAGACCTGTAAGTTATAAGAAGGAAGAGTTGAGAGGTAGCTGAGGTGGGTGTCTCCAGGTAGGACACGTGAAGATGGGAATAAGTTCAGGGGACCTGAGAAAGGTGCTTGGTGCCTAAAGTCAGAGGAAAGTCAAATTAGGGATTCCTTTTAGGGAGGTGAGGAGAGCAACTTAGACGTGATGTTGCATTTGTGAGCTTGGAACCCAGAGTTAAAAGAAAATATACAGAATTGAAAAATATTACCTGGCCTAAAATTGGAAGTAGAATGATTTCGCAGGAAAGAAAAGTGAAAGAGGAACTATCATCTCCTAGGCAAAAACAGAACAGTGTAGAGTCAGGAAGAAATCATGATTTGTCTTCAAGCTGAGATTAGTTAATTGGATGGCACAGTATAGGTGTCTAACTTACCCGTACATAGTTTACTCTCTTCAGGTGTCCTTAAACTGTGATGTAAGTGTTCATCTGAATTTACTCTGTATTTACATTCTATCCATGATGTCTGTAATAGCTATGACTATAAAAGGGAGGGCCAGCCTCATTACTCCTTGGATGGCTACACTGCAGTAGGACCCAGAGGATGTGAGTATGGGAATCTGATCCTGAGTCCTGCTGGTTGGAGAGTTGCCAGTGTCATCATAACTTGTAAAAAAAGTCCCATAAGACACTTGTAAAGGATAAGTCTTAAAGTATGTAAGAATAAATCAGAAAATTGCCTTTTTTAAAAAAAAGCTTTTTAAAAAGCTTTTTAGCTGGTGATTGTGTCTTTCTTTTCTTTAGGATTCTTTAATAAGTAATTTTAGTAAAGTGTCATTCTTAGTTGCTAAAGAAAACAGTCGTCTCCTGTTTTCAGTCATCAGATTCAAGCCTATTAGGAAAAACTTGAATAATTATTCTTACACGTCTCCATTAATATGAAGAATCATGCATAAAATGTAGTCCATGCTTATCTCTAAAATAAACAAGGAAATAAAATTTCCGGGTTCTGTTAGTTGTTAGAAAACATGGTAACTCAACTTGTTATTCTGCACCTTGGGAAAAAAATGCTTCCTTGTTGATTCCAAGTAAGATCATTTAGAAACTAAAGTCTACCATGTAGAGTATAAAAATGAGATTGTTAAGGGGATGCTCCTTTATTCTGAAAACTCTCTAATGAGGGAACAAAAATATAACCCTGGTTTTAATATTTATGTAACTTTTTGCAGAAATAATTTAAAATAGGGAGAGGTAACTTTCAATCCCAAACATAGATCAAATACTTAGTAATTTATTTGACCTATAATGCTGGTTCTCAACCCTGGCTACTCTTTACAATCACCTGGGAGCTTCTTAAAATTACCAGTGTGATCTTAACCCCAGAGATTCTGATTTATTGTTGGTCTGGGTTAGGGCCTAGGCATGGTTAATTGGATTCCTTAGGTAATTCTAATGTGTAGTCAGAATTGAAAACCACTGCCTTAGAAACACACAGTTGAACTTTCTTTTATCTTCATATGGAATCAGAAAAGTAAAGAGGAAGAAAAGGAGTGACCTGTAGATTAGCTACCCATCTGTACTTATTCTAAAAGATCAAGGTAGGGAGCAGGTGAAGGCTTGGATTTTGCACCCTTTGTACCAGAACACATGGGCCAGTGTGCAGTACTGGAAGTAAAGTTCTTGGATGTTACAGTGTGGTGGCATTTCTTGTCAGGAGAGAAGGGAATGATAGATTGTTTTAACTTTTCTTCTTCTGCTTGACTTTGAGTAAAAAGTTGAGCATCTCCTGCTTTTTTAGCATTTTAGGAAAAAAATTATTGTGCCAAGAGTATCAGGTAATCTGTCATAAAAATATATGAATGGAGCAGATCTGTGCATCACTTCAAACTAAAGATATATAAAAGCATTCCTTTGTGCTTTTTTGCTAAGCTGTGACAGCACAATCACTGGTTATTTTGTAAAGAAATTTATTTTAAAACAGTATGACGGCCAAAAAAAAGCTATTGGAAGGAGAGGAAGAGAGGACACACCTAGGTTACATTTGGCCTCTTTTAAGTCTGTGAGACATGTTTAAAAATCTTTAAAGAAAGCTTACTTTGTCACTATCCCATTTCTGCTATAATCAACATAATTATACCTTTTTAAATTAACTAATCTATGAGTACCGACTTAATGAATGAGTTCCATGTATATGGAGCTGCTTAAAGACTCTGAAAAGAATAGGAATGTCTTATTAATATCAATTCTGGATACTACGTGCCTAAATGAACCTTCTTTAGAGGGCTAATCCAGAGTACTCATGCATAGAATAAAAGCTTACTGGATAGGCTCAATAATAGAATGGATATGACTGGATATGACTGAGAGTAGATACCGTATACTGTGGTATGACTGGTGACCTGTTGGATGTCGCTGTCCTGTAGTCATTGGTTAAATATACTCCTGATGACAGATGGGTACATGCACTTCATCCAGCTTTGCTGCTGCACGTTGTCATGGTGAAGGGGAAGGACACACTACAAATGATGATTCCTTCCCACAGACTACAGTCCATATCTTAACAAAGATCTGTCGAATGTTTCCCTGTGGAAAAGAGGATTTTAATATATTTTTCTCTTGCTGACTTGAGTAAAGATTTCTGATTATCCTAGAACAGAGATAATGGAGGTAATTTTTCATGGAAAAACTATATACTTTCGTTTGTAAGCTGTTAGAATTGGCATTTTGTTGGTTGGGTGCCAGGCTGCTAGACTATGCACCACGTGGGCAGGGATTTTGTTTTGCTCAATGTTGTATTCCTGATGAAAGGTAAATGATTTTAATTTTGATAAAGTGATTTATTTACTTTTTAATTTTTTCATTTTTTCCACTTGTTATTTCACTTTGTAATTATATGATATAATCTATTTTTAGTTTTCTCCACAGGGCTAAATATGGTAACAATTTATTGTTTATTCAGGGCACTCAGTAAACTGAGGATTTGTGAATACTGTATGAATTCATTTTATAGAGAATAACAGTTTAAAAAAACTAATGACTGGAACATTAGTATTGAACTTTTGTCTTACAATAAACTTTTTAAAAAAGTTTAAAGAAAATTTTTAGAAGTTTCAAGGCATATAATCACAGATATAAAATGCATTAAGAAAACCTATTCAGAATCGCACAGATTTATTCACATTTCAAAACACTTAAATATGCAAAAAAGAAAATCCACAGAATGGTTTTAAATTACAAACTCACCTTGTGAATTTAAACCTAATTTCATTTTCAAAAGTTCAATTTTCAGCTCATTTTAGGATCATTTATATGTTGTAAAAGTGATATATACTAGCATCTGGTTATGGTCAGCACCTGCCAAGAAAGTTAATAAAGCATTTCTTTAAGATCTTTGGTTTAGAAAAATGTTCTGGCTATATTTATAGTAGCCTATATAAATAAGTGCTACAAACCTTACCACTTCACAATTTTTGTGAATTCTTTTTCTCCATTGAACAGATGCAAATAGAAAAATTAATTAGCCTTTCCCTTGTTACCAGACATAAATTATTATTCTCTTCTAAAGATACAAAAAAAAATTGATGAGAAGAATCATAGAATTTTTAGAAGTGGAAAGTATCTTAGAAGTAATCTACACTTATTTTTAGCATCTTGCTTATAGATTTCAATTTTGTAAAAACCTTAGTGGTATTTTGATGGTAGGATATTTTTATTAAGTTTTTAAATGTCTTAATGTTCTCTCTGTAGCCTTATTTGTTAATTTTTGCCAAGAATCTTTCCACAAAATCTGAATTACTTGCTTCAATTTGCACCTTTCATAAGGATTAAAATAAATTGAGATCTTAAGAACTTATTTATTTATTTATTTATTTATTTATTTATTTATTTATTTGAGATGGAGTTTCACTCTTTTGCCCAGGCTGGAGTGAAGCCGCACAATCTCCGCTCACTATAACCTCCGCCTCCCAGGTTCAAGTGATTCTCCTGCTTCAGCTCCCCGAGTAGCTGGGATTACAGGCATGCATCACCAGACCCGGCTAATTTTTGTTATTTTTAGTAGAGACAGGGTTTTACCGTGTTGGCCAGGCTGGTCTCGAACTCAGGTGATTCACCTGCCTCAGCCTCCCAAAGTGCTGGAATTACAGGCGTGAACCACCTTGCCCGGCCAAGAACATTTTTAATGCTTGTTTATATAAGAAGATATTTGGCTAGGCCTTTGATTTTTTGAAAGGAAGATCCTAAATATAAAGTGCATGACCTATTATATATTTCTGCAACACAGGAAATTAACATTTTATTTAGTAGGATAATACCTTCTGGTAAACTACTGAGAAAAAATAAAATTTACTACATTCTAATTATAAAGAGTACTTTGCCATATCCCTTACCCTTCTCAATTCTGATATGGTCTCCTGGAGGTGAGACAGGGTTTATTTGCTAATAGCCTGTTGAGCAATTCAGTTGTCTTACCATTGTCTCCTTTCCCTGCCTGATCTTTTTTCATTGAATGGCCATAATAATTTTTTTTTTTTTTGAGAGACGGAGTTTCGCGCTTGTTGCCCAGGCTGGAGTGCAATGCTGCGATCTTGGCTCATCGCAACCTCCACCTCCCAGGTTCAAGCAGGTCTCCTGCCTCAGCCTCCTAAGTAGCTAGGACTACAGGAGCACGCCACTACACTAGGATAATTTTGTATTTTTAGTAGAGACGAGGTTTTACCATGTTGGTCAGGCTGGTCTTGAACTCCCGACCTCAGGTGATCCGCCCATCTCAGCCTCCCAAAGTGCTGGGATTACAGGCGTGAGCCATCGTGCCCGGCCATAATAAATTTTTGAATGGCCATCCTAAATTTTAGGTGCCTCATTGGAGTACAGAGTTTTGCCATAGATTGTAAATTATTCTAGGGAGATATTTTTGATGCTATTGACATTTAACCCAGATAATTCTTTGTCATGGGAGACTGTCCTGTGCATTGTAGGATGTTTAGCAGCGTTCCCAGCCTCACCCCAATAGATGCCAGTGGTACCTCCTCGCCCAATTTGTGACAAATAAAAATGTCTTAAGATGACGTTGCTTGAATGTCCTCTGGAGGGCAAAATCTGCGGTTGAGAACCACTGCTCTAGGGCAAGAAGGTCTTTTGTGTTTGTATTCTCTCATTTCCCATACATATGTCTCCTCAATTGTGTTATTATGTATAAGAACCCAGTAATTTTTACTTAATTGAAATAGTAACTTTATTTTAAGGCCTGATTATCTTGTATTGAAATGGTAATTTTTATGTTATAGCCTGTATGTATCAACAAATATGTAAAAACCTGGAGAGGAAATATTGTATAATCCATGTATAGTATAAATAAGAGTTAGCTTTAGGTATCTGTTGGATCGATTTTAAATACTATCCTTAGTATTCCATATGTGGCTGTTACAAAGTTATAGAAACGAAGCTTTGTCAGGCGTGGTGGCTCACGCCTGTAATACCAGCACTTTGGGAGGCCGAGGCGGGCGGATCACCTGAGGTCAGGAGCTCGAGACCAACCTGATCAACATGGTGAAACCCTGTCTCTACTAAAAATACAAAAATTAGCTGGGCGTGGTGGTGCATGCCTGTAATCCCAGCTACTCAGAAGGCTGAGGCATGAGAATTACTTGAACCTGGGAGGTGGAGGTTGCAGTGAGCTGAGATTATGCCATTGCGCTTCAGCCTGGGGGACAGAGTGAGACTCCATCTCAAATAAATAAACAAACACACAAACAAACCAAGCTTCAGTTTTTTCTCCTGTAAAATTGAAATAATGTCTATTTTATGGTTTTATGGTAAGAAACAAATTACATGATAAATATGGTCAGCTAAGCTCAGCTGAGAATCAGATGCCTTTGGTGGGTTGTAGTTTGATGGTACTCTTCTACTCCATTTTAACATTTCTGTTATCTGATTCATAAAAGGGGTTTTTAGGGGGAAACACCTACTTGAAATCTCCCTACAATCGGCATACAGATATATATGAAGCTTTAAAATGCATTAGAGAGACTCCTTATAGATTTATCTCTATTTGCCAAGAGGAACAATGGATGAAGGAATCAGCCTTATTGTGGGATTCTGTTTTAGTTAAAGAGTAGGCTAAGTTGCAGTAACAAATCCACACTTTAATGGCTCAGTTCAGTAAAGTTTATTTCCTACTCACATGATAGTCCTTACTGCTTCAGGTTTGTTGGACATTCTTTCAGGAACATGAAGCTCCTTCTGTCTAATGGGATCACCATGTACGTTGTAAGCTTCACTGTTGTCCTCTGGTAGAAGAGGTAAACGTGTAAAAGGAGTACCACTGCTTTCCTAAAAGCAGTGGTCTGGAAGTGGGATATTTAAATTCTGCTCATATTCTATTTGTTCTTATTTGGTGAGAACTTGGTATCATGGTCACACCTACCCCATTGAAGAATGGGAGAGAGTGGAGTTTTGGGTATATACCCAAAGGATTATAAATCATGCTACTATAAAGACACATGCACACGTATGTTTATTTTGGCACTATTCACAATAGCAGAGACTTGGAACCAACCCAAATGTCCATCAGTGATAGACTGGATTAAGAAAATGTGGCACCTGTACACCATGGAATACTATGCAGCCGTAAAAAAGGTTGAGTTCATGTCCTTTGTAGGGACATGGATGAAGCTGGAAACCATCATTCTCAGCAAACTATCGCAAGGACAGAAAACCAAACACCGCATGTTCTCACTCATAGGTGGGAATTGAACAATGAAAACACTTGGACACAGGAAGGGGAACATCACACACCGGGGCCTGTCATGGGGTCGGGGAAGGGGGGAGGGATAGCATTAGAAGATATACCTAATGTAAATAAGGAGTTAATGGGTGCAGCACACCATCATGGCACATGGATACATATGTAACAAACCTGCACGTTGTGCACATGTACACTAGAACTTAAAGTATAATGAAGAAAATATATATTAAAAAAAGACTCTTGCTTTAAAGAAAGAGGTTGCTGCCTACTCTCTTGACAGGGATGATAGCATTGTTCTCTAGCATCCAGGTGTGCTGGGATTCTTAACGTCTTCGCCATCAAGATGTGGCGGTTTCCTAATGCTACCAGTGGCTAGGTAGTAGGGAAGTTTTGAGTTCCAGCTTTGATTAGCACTTCTCTAGACCCATCAGAGATGCATCCTGATGACTTGTAATGAAATGTAGAGGTCAGGAGTAATCACTGGACCCTTACAAGTGCTCCTTTGGATTTTCAAGAATACTGGGAGTTGTACAATTCTGCCAGAACTTGTGCTTCAGCAGTTTGAGCAGTTAGGGCTTAATGTTGTTAGCCAAGCAACTAGGAGCTTGGAATTATTGACAGCCAGTTGAAATGAAAGGAATAAATATATATTCATAGAGTGATGAAGTGAATTCTGGTTACTTGGCTGTAAAGAGGCAGGAATAGTGCACACAGCATATCCAGCCAGGTAAAGAGGAGGACAGGGGCAGAATGGCTTAGCAGGAAAGTAGTGTTCCTTGCCACATAGGGAAAATAGTTCCTCAGGTTTTGTAGGCTTGAGCAGCAGCAAATATTTGATTATAATAAAAATGGAACTTAGTATTAAATTATTTAATGAATGATGTGTTCTATTAAGAGCCTTTCCATGCTAGAGATCTTAGCATTTCTGGTACTGTATGTACTATTCAGAGGGTACAAACTATTCACAGTTCCAGAAATGTTAATATCAAAGAGCATTTGCCTATATATTAAATTTCATACTGGCTGGATGCTGTGGCTTACGCCTGTAATCCCAGCACTTTAGGGGGCTGAGGCAGGAGGATCACTTGAGCTTAGGAGTTTGAGGCCAGCCTGAGCAACACAGTGAGACACTGTCTCTACAAATAATGATAATAATAATAATAAAAATAGCTGGGCATGGTGGCACACACCTGTAGTCCTAGCTGCTCTGGAGGCTGAGGTGGAAGGATTGCTTGAGTCCGGGAGGTCAGGGCTGCCATGAGCTGTGATTGTGCCACTGCACTCCAGCCTGGGTAACAGAGTGAGACTCTAGACCCATCAGAGATGGCAAGAAAAAAAAAATAGCTTCCTTTAAATGCAGTCTGATTTCGGAACTTCTATTTTTCTTTACAAGTTTGATAATTATCTCTGCTTTTAAATTAAAGGAAATTCATTCTTTAAATTTTACTTGGTCTTTTTGGTTTCTGTTACTGAATTCTACTCACAATGAATTTAGTCGAAGTCTGTGTTTCTAGCGTAGTTACTCAATATTGAAAATGTATGTTAGCAAGATGGAGTAGTCCCTTATGTGGTTAGTAGGCCTTCAGGCAGTTTTTTTCCTTTTTGCCTTCACCTTTAGTTTACCCCAAAATATATAATCAAAATATATAATTTTAAAAAATTCTATATACTACTGTTTTTGAAAATTATAACTATTTGAACCAGGTACTATTGCTATAACAGATAATATTTTAAAATTTAAAGATAAACAGGAGGCTGTGTTAGGGGAGCAGTATTCTTATATTGATGTTCTGCATTTAGTTGCAGATGTTACTGTTCATAAAGATATACAAGTACCACTGATGTTGGTATTGCACGTAGAAAGTAGGTAAAAATGATAAATTGGAGTCTGCCTGACAGAATGCAGTCTGAGAGAAAACTTTTCTCTTTCAATATAATCTCTTTACATTTGGCCTAAGTTTAAGGTAACAGTGTTGCCTTTCAGAATTCAGCCTTTCTTTAAAGATATTTTTCATATCAGCATATTACATCCAAAATACCTCATGCTCAATATTATGTTATATTTAAAATGAGAATCATGCAAACATTAATATCTGAATTAAACATACCAAAATTAATTTTATTCTTTCAAATATGGAATTACAATAGAGCTTTCTTTCACAAGGTTGATTTTTAGATTATCTTACAGTAAAAGCATCTGAAAAATTTTGGCTTACTTAGTCTTTCTCGGAGTTTCTTTTTATAAGGGAATCTTGGCAGACTGTGCTCTGTTCTATGAGCTACTGATTGTAGGGGGAAATAATGATGCTATTTACTTTTGTGATTTTCTTCAAACTGAACAATCAAGTTAAAACCTAAGATAATGTTTCAAAAGTAATCACTATATATGTGGTCTTATCCTTTTATCCTTATTTTCTCTGTAAGTGATTCCTTTTCTGCTCTTCTGATTTCTTAATATTTTTCACTTTCTTCAGTTAAAATTTATTAATCACACATTTACTACTAATCAGGAATTATGAAGACTGGAATTTAAAAACTACTCTACTGGAGAGAACAACTTTCAGTTGAAATTCTTCATGGTTGGGTGACTAAAGATTCCAAAAGAGAGTGGTTTGGATGAATCAGCACTGGCTTGGAAAGGGAGCTCTTGAAATCTGCTCCACATTTCTTATGAATGACTTAGATGAAGGTACACAAAATAAATTTTTAGGGCATGAAAAGTTGAAAGGAATAGCTAATATATTGAGTAGAGAAATAGGAATTTAACATTATCACAGTGGACTGATGTGCTATGTCATGGCAAATAATATGTTATTTAATGTGAATAAATATATATGTCTGCATTAATGATATATAAAATATTCACTTAATTTCGAGGAAACAGTGCAGAAAGGTTTTAGTTGACTGCATGTTTTATATGAGCCAACAATATGATAAAGCTGGTAAAACTGTCAAAATAATAATGGACTATAGCAGTTAATAGTTTCTAAATAGTTTCCAAGAGGCCCCTGGTATTAGTCAGTTCTTGCACTGCTGTAAAGAAATACCTGAGACTGAGTAATTTATAAAGAAAAGAGGTTTAATTGGCTCATGGTTCTACAGGCCGTACAGGAAGCATAGCGGCCTCTGCTTCTGGGGAGACCTCAGGAAACTTACTGAGGTCATGGCGGAAGGTAAAGAGGAAGCAGGCTCGACTTACATGGGCAGAATAGGAGGAACAGGGAGGGGAGGTGCTACACACTTTTAAACAACCACATACCCTGAGAACTCTATTATGAGAACAGCACTAGGGGAATAGTGCTAAACCATTCATGAGAAATCACCCCCATGATCCAATCACCTCCCACCAGGCCCCACCTCCAACATGGGGGATTACAATTTCACATGATGTTTGGGCAGGGACACAGATCCAAACCATATCAAACCTGTACTCTGTTGTCTGCTCTTTAGGATACCTTTGGAGTATTTGTTTCATTCTACACTTTATATATTAAGGAATAATTGGATATCCGTAAGATGAACAAGATCATGCTTTTAGGAAGAGATACTTTATTTGGAGGGAATGCATGAGAAGTCTAGAGAAGGACTTCTCAATTCTAGGGAACCTGATCTGGAGAAAAGATTTCTGACAATGAGCATAAAATTATTCCACCTTCTTATAAAAGGCAGGACTAGGATCACTGAGTATATAGAAATTTTAGGGAAGTAGATTACATTAATATGTAATGATGTGAAAAGTTGGAATCACTCAATATGGATTGATTGGGCTGCCTTCACAAAGTGAGTCCTTTCCCTGTCAAGCTAAATGGCAATTTGTCTAGATTATTATTGTAAAGAGGGGATTAATTTACTAGCGGGATGGGATGACTTCTCTGGCCCCTTCCATTTTTTTTGTATATGTAGTAGGTTTTATTGAAGAGTTGGGAAGTTTTTGTTTTTGTTGTGGACCCCTTTGAATTCACATTATTCCTCAAAGTATGAATTGGGAAAGAGGTTGGTGTTGGAATTGTAACAGGCTTCATGATACATGCAGACTCACTACCCATGCCACTTGACCATTTTTAATCTTGTGAGCCTTTGTCATTTTCACTGCATAAGAAATTAACCAACTGATGGTTTTATTTGAAGGATAGGGGTTTACCGATGGGGCAGTCTCATTGTTTTACTGATATATATATGGGAATATAATTCCTAGACATTCATAACCTTAATTCAGTATGGTAAAGTTTAGTCAATTTTTAATTACTGTATATTCTTCCCATCCATTTACACAGTTCAGTGGTTTCCTTCCTTCATTCATATTCCTTAAATAGTTTTTGTTCCATGGACTATCATTTTTTATTATATAGTTTCTCTGTCCCTGCTGATTGCATTAGTCTAGTACTAGCAAACAGAGGGTTATCCAAATGTTTAAGAACTAAACCAGAGTAAGATGATATACAAGTAATAGATACTTTTCTGCAAATTTCACCAAATCTTTTCTGTGTAGTCATTGAAGAGACTCCTACCTGACTGCTGTTGTAGTGGGACAGATTTTGATCCCCAGTTTAGTAACATATACTTTTTTCGTTCATTTGGAAATAATTAGTGCTTGTGCTTATTAATTAAGAAATTATTTAGTTTGGTTTGCTACCAGTGCAAAAAGAAATTTTTCAGTTCACATTTAAAAGGTAGAAGTGATTTAAAAATTATTAATATTGCAGCCCTTCTCAAATCTTTCACTTGATCAACAAGTTTTTAGCATTTTCTCTTTACTTTTCTAACTTTTTGTTTTGAAATAATTTCAGATTTAAAGAAAGATTGTAGAAAGAATTACAGATAATTCTCATGTACTCATAACCCAGATTTCCTAAATGAAAAATGGAAACATTTTATCATAGTTGTTTTCTCTGCCTTCTTCTTTTTTCTTTTTGAACTATTTGAGATAAAGTTACAGTCATGATTATGTTTTTATCCCCAAATACTCAAGTATGCATTTCCTAAAATCAGGAACATGGTCTAAAACAACCATAATGCATTGATCAAAGTCAGAAACTTAACATTGATACAGTACTTTTATTTATTTAATCTGTATCCTTTATTCAAATTAGACCCGTTGGCCCAGTAATGTCCTTTATGGGAAAACAAAAGAAGTCTGATTTAGAATCTGATCTAGGCTCAGACATTAATTACATTTAGACATCATGTCTCCCTTAATTTGGAAGAGTTCCTTATTTTTTCTTCGTCTTTTATGATACTGACATATTTTGAAATGTGTAGGCCAGTTAATTGATAAAATATTCATAAGCTTGGGTTTATCTGCTCTTTCCTCATGATTAGCTTTCAATTTATGCAGTCTTGGCAGGAATACTGTGGAAGTGTTTTTGTTTTCTTTTCAGTGCATCAGATCTGGAGACACATTATAAAGATTTGTCCAATTATTGATTATATTAACTTTGATCATTTTGTTAAGGTGGTTTCTCCACTTTGCCAGTTTGTCCCCTATGAAGTTATTATTTTATCCTTTAATAAATATCTTGTGTGAAAATACTTTGAGACTTTGTAAATATCTATTTCTCATCAAAGTTAAATGCTCTAGTTTTAGCACCTGTTGATTCTTGCATGACTGAAGCACTACTGCTTTAAAAAAAGCATTACTATGATAGTTGTAAAATGATTTTTCTCATCCTGTCACTTCCGTATTTACTAATTGTCATTGTACTGTAAGGAAGAAGTTTCCTTTCTCATTTGCTTACTGACTTATTTATTTATATTAGCATGAACTCATGGATTCTTATCTTAATCTATGAGTTAAAATCCATTACTGTGGTTTAGTGTTTTGCTCGAATTATCCCAGATTTGGCCTATTGGAACCTTTTCTGGATGGTTTCTGTTTCCTGTTGAAAAATCTCCATGATTCCTTGAATTCTTCTTTATTCTGTGGCACAAAAAGATATTCTAGACTCATTGTATACGGATCTCTTCCTGTCTAGGAATAATCCATTTTTCCAAGGAGCTATAGTTTCTTTTATTTGAATATAATTTTTAGAAACCAGGACCTGGGCACTTCATGTGAAAATTTATAATGGATTATCATTGCTTCTAGTTGCTCTTAGTGGGCAAACATAAAATATATATGTACACACACGAATATATATATACACACACACACACACACACATACACACACACATACATATACATATATATCTGTTTCTGTGTTGATCTATCTATATTTAAAAATCTACAGTGTGTAATGCTATTTATCATTGCCACAACTTAATGTCTACACAGAATGATAGGAAGCTTTATCAAATATGTCTTTATTTTGCTTTCATTTGTAAGGATTATTTTCACTGGATATAGAATTCTGAATGAAATCTCACTAGATAGGCTTAATAATAGAATGGATGTAACAGAGGAAAGTGTCAGTGAACTAGAAGATAGATCATTAGAAATTATTGTGTCTGAAAAGTAGAGATAAAAGATTGAGAAAAAATGAACAGAGTTTCATGGACCTGCTGAATAATATCAAAATTTATGATGTTAATATAATTAGACTCTTAGAGAAGAGAGACTGACAAGGAAAATATGTTTGAAGAAATAATGGGTGAAAAGTCTTGTAAATGAAGAGAAAGTCACATTTAATGATTCAAGAAGGTCAGTGAACACCAGTTAGGATAAGTACAAAGAAAATCTAGGTGATTTATGGTGGCTCATGTCTGTAATCCCAGTACTTTGGGAGGCTAAGGTGGGAGGATTACTTGAGGCCAGGAGTTTAATAATATCCTGGGCAACATGGTGAGACCCCTGCCTCTACAAAAAATAAAAAAAATTAGGGCAGGCATGGTGGTGTGTGCCTGTAGGCCTAGCTACTCAGGAGACTGAGGCAAGAAGATCTTTTGAACCTAGGAGTTCAAGGTTACAGTGAACCATGATTGCGCTACTGCACTTCAGCTTGGGCAACAGTAAGACCTAAGACCCTGTCTCTAAAGAATAAGAAAGAAAATCTTGCCTAGATAGATTGTAATCAAGCTGCTGAAACCACAGATGAAAACAAAGTCTTAAAACAGAGAAAAATTACTTATCATATACAATGGAATAATGACTTAAATGACCACAGATTTCTCATTGGAAATCATGGGGGCTAGAGACAGATAGATGAAGAAAAAAAAGTTATCAATATCAGGAATGAAAAGGGGGATATATAATAGTACTACAGACATTAAAAGGATAATTAGAGAATACAGCAACAGTCTTATGCCACACATTTGACAATGAGATGAAATAAATAAATGTTTTGAAAATTTCAAAAATTGCCAAAACCGGATAAAAACATTGAAAAGCTGGTAATTATAGACAAAAATCTATCATGAATGTAAATGCAAGAATCTTAACAGAATATTAGTAAATCAAATGTAATAATATATAAAAGGATAATACATGCCTAAGTAGAAGGTATCCTAAGAATACAAGGTTTATTTAACATCCTAAAGTCAATCAGTGTAATTAAAAAAAGAAATGAATCTCATTATTATTTTGGTAGATGCATTTAAGGCCTGTGACAATAATCCATTTATTAAAGAAAAATTAGGAAATTCTTCAAACTCTGCACACCTAGGAAGAATCTGTAACTCATATTTAATGGTGAAAGACAGAATCTTATTCCCCTGAGAATAAGAACAAGACAAGGATGCCTACTTTCGTCCACTTCATTCAGCATTGTAATGGAGGTCCCAGCCATTGTAATAAGGTATGTGTTATGGATTGAATCGTGTACCTCAAGAAGTTATGTTGAAGTCCTAACCTCTGGTACCTTTCAATGTATTCTTATCTGGAAATAGGGTCTTTGCAATGTAATCAAGTTAAAATGAGGCCATGCTGATTTAGGGTGGGTCCTAATCCAATATGACTGGTGTCCTTATTAGAAGAGAAGAGACGCAGTGGGAAGACAGCCATATGAAGATGGAGACAGATACTGGAATTATATTCCCTCAAGCCAAGGAACTTCTAGGACAACCAGAAGCTAGAAGAGGGAAGGAAGAATTTTTTCCTAGAGGCTTTGGAGGGAGCATGGCCCAGTAACACCTTAATTTTGGATTTCTAGCCTCTAGAACTGCAAGATAATAAATTTTTGTTGTTTTAAACCAAGCAGTTTGTGGTACTCTCTGGGAAACTGAAATATAGCAAGTAAAAGAAATGAAAGGAATAAAGATGGGGAAATGAGAAATAATACTGTTACTGTTTACAGATGTTATGATTATTACATGAAAATATTTTAGGAACCCTATAAAACAACTACTAGAACTAGTAAGTGAATCTTCATAATTGCAAACTACAAGGTTAATATACTAAAATTGGTGCATTCATTTATCCTAACAGCGTACTGTTGGAAAATGAATTTTAAAAGAATCCCGTTTATAATAGCACCAAAAATCATAAAATACTTGGGTATAAACAAAACAAAGATGTCTAAGACCCCTACACTGAAAAATACAAAATGTTGCCAATAGAATAGGAGGGTAGAAACTGAGAAGCTGATTATAAAAACTATGTGGAAGTTAAAAAGGACCTGGAATAACCAAAGAAGTTTAAAAAAAAGAAGGTTGGAGGACTTATCCTACCTGATTTGAAGAACTAATATAAGGCTACAATAATCAACACATTTTGGTATGATGAAATTATACACGATAGAGAATCTAAAAGTAGGCCCACACATATATGATCAATTGATTTTTTTAATAGATGTACCTGTTCTAAGACAAATTCTTGTGGTTCTCTGACATTTCTACACATCTTTTGAGCAAGATGCATTGGCATGTTTGTTCTAGACTATCTTTCCAAAGACATTTGTATAGTAAACTTGCTTGGGAGATTGAGATAGTGCCTTTCTCTGGGAGAAGAGTCTGGATTTGTTTTCTTTTATTTTTAACCATGCAACAATAGCTTATTATGTATGGGTTTTAAAGGTTTCAAAAATTATTTCCTGAATCTCTCCATACACAGGCAAAAATAAATGTGCTATTTAACATATTGGAATGTGCAAACTTAATCATTGCCTAGAGAAGGGAAAATTATCCCCAAAACATGCTTAACCAGGAGGCTGATTCATCTGCTGACTCCAAGAACATGAAGATGAACATGATAGACAGACTGTCCACCATCTGAATGTTCATTCACCACCCATTCATTCAGTAACCCTTACTCAGGCCCAGATGAGCAGCACATTTCTTGCCAACAATCATTAAATGTCCAAGAAGGCTCTCGTTATCATCTTCTGCAGCAGAAATCTGGGATATGTTTCTTGTGTATCACTAGAAAATGTGTTGGAAGAGGCCAAGATGGCAGATGACATCACTAAGGCTCATGTCGTTTGGCCTGGTGACAACACAATCTTTGGGAATATTTTCCACAAAGAAATCCCAGCTAAAATCACTTTTAAGTATGACTAGTATCTTGCTTTCCATGACATTTTCCCTCAAGCGCTAACAGGAGGGAGGAACTGGATTTGTTTTCTGACCACGATAGTAAGCATAATGTCTTCAACTTAGGCAAAGCCTGGGTAGGGTTGCTAGCAGCCACTGTGTAAGAGTGAGTGTTTGCTAAGTTTATGGTTCCTCAGTTGTGACACTGACCCGCTGTGTGCCAGCCTTCATCTGACCTTGCTTCTGCATTTCCCTGTGGGCGTTGGTGGTTAAGGAGGACCAATGCAAACATGAAGCTCTTACTGCCTGACGTGCTGAGAGTAATAAGGTGCTTTGTCTCTGATTCAGGTGTCTTGGGTCTTCTGCTGGCATGAGGGAAGCCATTGCGGGCTAACTTGTAGCTTGCAAGTAGGGTAAAATCTCAGACCCTTCATGGTTCTTGACATTACCAAGGTAATTAAAAGGGAAAAGGAAAATCTTTTCAGAAATGGCACCATATTAACTGGATATCCATCTGGAAAACAATTAACATTAACTCTTAACTTCATACCAGACATAAAAATTTGATTGGATCATAGACCAACATGTAAAACTTAAAACCATACTACTTAGAAAAAATAGGCTGGGCGTGGTGGCTCACGCCTGTAATCCTAGCACTTTGGGAGGCCAAGGCAGGCAGATCACTTGAGGTTAGGAGTTCGAGACCAGCCTGGCTAACATGGTGAAACTCCATCTCTACTGAAAGTACAAAAATTAGTTGGGTGTGGTGGCAGGCGCCTGTAATCCCAGCTGAGGCACAAGAATCAATTGAACCCATGAGGTGGAGGTTGCAGTGAGCCCAGATCGCAACACTGCACTCCAGCCTGGGCGATAGAGCGAGACTCAGTCTCAATTAAAATAAATAAATAAATAAAGTAACATATAACTTAAAATCTTCACCGTTGGGGCATGACACAGTAAGGTCACATCACAAAAAAGCAAGAATTGAAGAAAACATTTCCAAAACATATATCAGACAAAGGACTTGTGTCCAGAATATATAAAGTACTCTTTCCATTTAATAATAACAGGACAATCCAATTTTAAAATAGTGGGCAAAATTTTTGAACTAATACTTGATAAAAGAAAATACATGAATAATCGATAAACCATAAAAAGATGATTAGCATAGGTTGTTATCAGAGAAGTGCAAAGTAAAATCACAATTTTATCTTACTCTACATCCATTAGGATGGCAAGCATGTGGAACAACTGGAAATTATATATATCGCTGAAGTAAATGTAAAACAGTAAACAGTTTGGCAATTGCTTGAAGCATTAAACATCCCCCCTCGCCCAAACCAGCCATTCCACTCCTAGTTATTTATACAAGAGAAATGAAAACATGTGCCCATACAGAAATTTGTACATGAATGTTGATAGCAGTTTCATTTGCAATAGCCAAAACTGGAAACAACCCAATATCCATCAACAGGTGAATGGAGAAACAAACTGTATCATACCCAAACAGTGGACTCAGCAGTCAAAAGGAACAAATGGCTATATCATTATCATCATCATCATCATCATCATCATCATTGATGAATTTCAAAATAATTACCCTTAAAGAAGCCAGACCAATAGAGAAATATTTATTATATAATTCTACTTATATACAGTTCTAGAAAGTGCAATGAACCTGTAGTGACATAAAGCAGATCAATGTTACCTGGAAACAGGGTACAGTGAGAATTGGATTGTAAAGGGTCTGGTAGAAATGCTTGTTATCTTAGGTGTAGTGATGGTTTCATGGGAATATATAGGTCAGAAATCATCAAATTGTACAGTTTACATATCCAGGTCATTGTGAATCAAATGTCAATAAAATTTAAAACGAAGATATAAATTAAATATTTTATTATTTTTTAGAATATTCAATTTGTAAGTTCAACTTTATCATAGAAAAGAGCTACATTTTTGTTGTTATTTATTTATTTATTTGTATTATACTTTAAGTTCTAGGGTACATGTGCAGCACGTGCAGGTTTGTTACATAGGTATACATGTGCCATGGTGGTTTGCTGCACCCATCAACCCGTCATCTACATTAGGTATTTCTCCTACTGCTATCCCTCCCCTAGCCACCAGCCCCCATCCTGTCCCCCAGACAGGCCCCTTCTTGTGTCCATGTGTTCTCATTGTTCAGCTCCCACTTATGAGTGAGAACATGTAGTGTTTGGTTTTCTGTTCTTGTGTTAGTTTGCTGAGAATGATGGTTTCCAGCTTCATCCATGTCCCTACAAATAACATGAACTCATCCTTTTCAAATAACATGAACTCAGCCATAGCTGCATAGTATTCCGTGGTGTATATGTGTCACATTTTCTTTATCCAGTCTGTCATTGCTGGGCATTTGGGTTGGTTCCAAGTCTTTGCTATTGTGAACAGTGCTGCAGTAAACATACGTGTGCATGTGTCTTTACAGTAGAATGATTTATAATCCTTTGGGTATATACCCAGTAATGGGATTGCTGAGTCAAATGGTATTTCTAGTTCTAGATCCTTGAGGAATCGCCGCACTGTCTTCCACAATGGTTGAACTAATTTACACTCCCACCAGTAGTGTAAAAGCATTCCTATTTCTCCACATCCTCTCCAGCATCTGTTGTTTCCTGACATTTTAATGATCGCCATTCTAACTGGTGTGAGATGGTGTCTCATTGTGGTTTTGATTTGCATTTCTCTAATGACCAGTGATGATGAGCATTTTTTCATGTTTGTTGGCCGCATAAATGTCTTCTTTTGAAAAGTGTTCATATTCTTTGCTCACTTTTTGATGGGGTTGGTTTTTTTTTTTTCTTGTAAATTTATTTAAGTTCTTTCTAGATTCTGGATATTAGCCCTTTGTCAGATGGATAGATTGCAAAAATTTTCTCCCATTCTGTAGGTTGCCTGTTCACTCTGATGATAGTTTCTTTTGCTTTGAAGAAGCTCTAGTTTAATTAGATCCCATTTGTCAATTTTGGCTTTTGTTGCCATTACTTTTGGTGTTTTAGTCATGAAGTCTTTGCCCATGCCTGTGTCCTGAATGGTATTGCCTAGGGTTACTTCTAGGGTTTTTATGGTTTTAGGTCTTATGTTTAAGTCTTTAATCCATCTTGAGTTAATGTTTGTATAAGATGTAAGGAAGGGGTCCAGTTTCAGTTTTTTGCATATGGCTAGCCAGTTTTCCCAACACCATTTATTAAATAGGGAATCCTTTCCCCATTGGTTGTTTTTGTGAGGTTTGTCAAAGATCAGATGGTTGTAGATGTGTGGTGTTATTTCCAAGGGCTCTGTTCTGTTCCGTTGGTCTATATCTCTGTTTTTGTACCAGTACCATGCTGTTTTGGTTACTGTAGCCTTGTAGTGTAGTTTGAAGTTAGGTAGCGTGATGGCTCCAGCTTTGTTCTTTTTGCTTAGGATTGTCTTGGCTATGTGGGCTGTTTTTTGGTTCCATATGAAATTTAAAGTAGTTTTTTCCTAATTCTGTGAAGAAAGTCAATGGTAGCTTGATGGGAATCACACTGAATCTATAAATTACTTTGGGCAGTATGGCCATTTTCACAATATTGATTCTTTCCTATCCATGAGCATGGAATGTTTTCCATTTGTGTGTGTCCTCTCTTATTTCCTTGAGCAGTGGTTTGTAGTTCTCCTTGAAGAGGTCCTTCACATCCCTTGTAAGTTATATTCCTAGGTATTTTATTCTCTTTGTAGCAATTGTGAATGGGAGTTCACTCATGACTTGCCTCTCTGTTTGTCTATTATTGATGTATAGGAATGCTTGTGATTTTTGCAACTTGATTTTTTTATCCTGAGACTTTGCTCAAGTTGCTTATCAGCTTAAGGAGATTTGGGGCTGAGATGATGGAGTTTGTAAATATACAATATACAATTATGTCATCTGCAAATAGAGACAATTTGACTTCCTCTATTCCTATTTGAATATCCTTTATTTCTTTCTCTTGCCTGACTGCCCTGGCCAGAACTTCCAATACTATATTGAATAGTAGTGGTAAGAGAGGGCATCTTTGTCTTGTGCTGGTTTTCAAAGGGAATGCTTCCAGTTTTTGCCCATTCAGTATGATATTGGCTATGGGTTTGTCACAAATAGCTGGTCTTATTTTGAGATATGTGCCATCAATATCTAGTTTATTGAGAGTTTTTAGCATGAAGGGGTGTTGAATTTTATTGAAGGCCTTTTCTGCATCTATTGAGGTAATCATGTGGTTTTTTTCATTGGTTCTGTTTATGTGATGGATTACATTTATTGATTTGTGTATGTTGAACCAGACTTGCATCTCAGGGATGAAGCCAACTTGATCGTGGTGGATAAGCTTTTTGATGTCCTGCTGGATTTGGTTTGCCAGTATTTTATTGAGGATTTTAGCATCAATGTTCATCAGGAATATTGGCCTGAAATTTTCTTTTTTGTTGTGTCTCTGCCAGGTTTTGGTATCAGGATGATGCTGGCCTCATAAAATGAGTTTAGGAGAATTCCCTCTTTTTCTATCGTTTGGAATAGTTTCAGAAGGAATGGTACCAGCTCCTCTTTGTACCTCTGGTAGAATTCGGCTGTGATTCTGTCTGGTCCTGGACTTTTTTTGGTTGGTAGGCTGTTAATTACTGCCTCAGTTTTAGAACTTGTTATTGGTCTATTCAGTGATTCGAATTCTTCCTTGTTTAGACTTGGGAGGGTGTATGTGTCGAGAAATTTATTCATTTCTTCTAGATTTTCTAGTTTATTTTTGTAGAGTTGTTTATAGTATTCTCTGATGGTAGTTTGTATTTCTTTGGGATCAGTGGTGATATCCCCTTTATCATTTTTAATTGCATCTATTTGATTCTTCTCTCTTTTCTTCTTTATTAGTCTGGCTAGCGGTCTATTTTGTTGATCTTTTCAAAAATGCAGCTCCTGGATTCATTGATTTTTTTGAATGGTTTTTCATGTCTCTATCTCCTTCAGTTCTGCTCTCATATTAGGTATTTCTCGTCTTCTGCTAGCTTTTGAATTATTTATTTGCCCGTTGCTTTTCTAGTTCTTTTTTTTGTTTGTTTGAGATGGAGTCTTGCTCTGTTGCCCAGGCTGGAGTGCAGTGGCGCGATCTTGGCTCACTGCAAGCTCTGCCTCCTGGTTTCACGCCATTCTCCTGCCTCCTTCCTGAGTAGCTGGGACTACAGGCACCCATCACCACACCTGGCTAATTCTTTTGTATTTTTATTAGAGTTGGAGTTTCACCGTGTTAGCCAGGAGGGTGTTAATCTCCTGACCCTGTGATCTGCCCGCCTTGGCCTCCCAAAGTGTTGGGATTACAGGCGTGAGCCACCATGCCCGGCCTTCTCTAGTTCTTTTAATTGTGATGTTAGGGTGTCGATTTTAGATCTTTCCTGCTTTCTCTTGTGGGCATTTAGTGCTATAAGTTTCTCTCGAAACACTGCTTTAGCCGTGTCCCAGAGATTCTGGTATGTTGTGTCTTTGTTTTCATTGGTTTCGAAGAAATGTTTTCTGCCCTAATTTCTTTGTTTACCCAGTAGTCCTTTAGTAGCACGTTGTTCAGTTTCCATGTAATTGTGTGGTTTTGAGTGAGTTTCTTAATCCTGAGTTCTAATTTGATTGCACTGTGATCTGAGAGACTGTTAAGATTTCCATTCTTTTCCATTTGCTGAGGAGTGTTTTACTTCCAATTATGTGGTCAATTTTAGAGTAAGTGTGATGTGGTGCTCAGAATGTATATTCTGTTGATTTGGGGTGGAGATTTCTGTAGATGTCTGTTAGGTCACTTGGACCAGAGCTCAGTTCAAGTCCTGAATATCCTTGTTAATTTTCTGCCTCCTTGAGGTGTCTGATATACACAGTGGGGTGTTAAAATCTCCCACTATTATTGTGTGGGAGTCTAAATCTCTTTGTAGGTCTCTAAGAACTTGCTATATGAATCTGGGTGTTCCTGTAGTGGGTGCATGTATATTTAGGATAATTAGGTCTTCTTGTTGCGTTGATCCCTTTACCATTATATAATGCCTTTCTTTGTCTCATTTGATCTTTGTTGGTTTAAAGTCTGTTTTCTCTTAGAGTGGGATCGCAACCTCTGCTTTTTTTTTGTTTTCCATTTGCTTGGTAAATATTTCTTCATCCCTTTATTTTGAGCCTATGTGTATCTTAGCACATGAGATAGGTCTCCTGAATACAGCACACCGATAGGTTTTGAGCCTTTATCCAATTTGCCAGTCTGTGTCTTTTAATTGGGGCATTTAGACCATTTACATTTAAGGTTAATATTGTTATGTGTGAATTTGATACTGTCATTATGATGCTAGCTGGTTATTTTGCCCATTAGTTGATGCAGTTTCTTCCTAGTGTCAATAGGCTTTGTAATTTGGTATGTTTTTGCAGTGGCTCGTATCGATTATTCCTTTCCAAGTTTAGTGCTTCCTTCAGGAGCTCTTGTAAGGCAGGCCTGGTTGTGAGAAAATCTCTCAGCCTTTGCTTGTCTGTGAAGGATTTTATTTCTCCTTTGCGTATGAAGCTTAGTTTGGCTGGGTATGAAATTCTGGGTTGAAAATCCTTTTTTTTTTTGAGATGGAGTCTCGCTGTCACCTGGCTTGAGTGCAATGGCATGATCTCAGCTCACTGCAACCTCTGCCTCCTGGGTTCAAGCAATTCTCCTGCCTCAGCCTCCCGAGTAGTTGAGATTACAGGTGGTCACCACCATGTCTGGCTAATTTTTGTATTTTTAGTAGAGACGGGGTTTCACCATGTTGGCCAGGCTGTTCTTGAACTCCTGACCTCGTGATCCACCCTCCTCAGCCTCCCAAAGTGCTGGAATTACAGGCGTGAACCACTGTGCCTGGCGAAAATTCTTTTCTTTAAGAATGTTGAATATTGGCCCCCACTCTCTTCTGGCTTGTAGGGTTTCTGCAGAGAGATTCACTGTTAGCCTGATGGGCTTGCCTTTGTGGGTAACCCGACATTTCTCTCTGGCTGCCCTTAACATTTTTTCCTTTATTTCAACCTTGGTGAATCTGACGATTATGTGTCTTGCAGTTGCTCTTCTTGAGGAGTAACTTTTTAGTATTCTCTGTATTTCCTGAATTTAAATGTTGGCCTGTCTTGCTAGGTTGGGCAAGTTCTCCTGGATAAAATCCTGAAGAGTGTTTTCCGACTTGGTTCCATTCCCCCTGTCACTTTCAGGTACACCAATCAACCATAGATTTGGTCTTTTCACATAGTCCCATATTTCTTGGAGGCTTTATTCATTCCTTTTCATTCCTTTTTCTCTAATATTGTCTTCATGCTTTATTTCATTAAGTTGATCTTCAATCTCTTGATACCCTTTCTTCAGTTTGATCAATTTGGCTATTGATACTTGTGTATAATTCACGAAGTTCTTGGGCTTTGCTTTTCAGCTCCATCAGATCATTTATGTTCTTCTCTAAACTGGTTATTCTAGTTAGCAAATTCCTCTGTCCTTTTATCAAGGTTCTTAGCTTCCTTGCATTGGGTTAGAACATGTTCCTTTAGCTCAGAGGAGTTTGTTATTACCTGTCTTCTGAAGCCTATTTCTGTCAGTTTGTCAAACTCATTCTCCATTCAGTTTTGTTTTCTTGCTGGCAAGGAGTTGTGATCCTTTGGAGGAAGAGGCTTTCTGGTGTTTGGAATTTTCAGCCTTTTCATGCTGGTTTCTTCTGATCTTTGTGGATTTATTTACCTTTGGTTTTTGATGTTGGTGACCTTCAGATGGGGTTTCTGTGTGCACATCCTTTTTGTTGATGTTGATGCTATTTGTTTCTGTTTGTTAGTTTTCCTTCTAACAGTTAGGCCTCTCTACTGCAGGTCTGCTGGAGTTTGCTGGAGGTCTACTCCAGACCCAGTTTACCTGGGTATCACCAGTGGAGGCTGCAGATCAGCAAAGATTGCTGCCTGTTCCTTGCTCTGGAAGCTTTGTCCTAGAGGGGCACCCTCCAGATGCCAGCCGGAGCTCTCCTGTGTGAGGTGTCTATTGGTCCCTGCTGTGAGGTGTTTCCCAGTCAGGAGACACAGGTGTCAGCGACCTACTTGAGGAGGTGGTCTAGTCTGACCCTTAGTGGAACTCAAATACTGTGCTGGGAGATCTGCTGCTCTCTTCAGAGCTGGCAGGCAGGGACGTTTAAATCTGCTGAAGCTGCACCCACAGTTGCCCCTTCCCTGAGGTGCTCTGTCCCAGGGAGATGGGGGTTTTATTTATAAGCCTCTGACTGGGGTTGCTGCCTTTTTTTCAGAGATACCCTGCCCAGAATGTGGGAATCTGGAGAGGCAGTCTGGCTACAGTGGCTTTGCTGAGGTGTGGAAAGCTCTGCCCAGCTGGAACTTCCCCTCTGCTTTGTTTACACTGTGAGGGGAAAACCACGTACTCAAGCCTCAGCAATGGCGGACACCCCTACCCCCACCAAGCTTGAGTGTCCCAGTTCGACTTCAGACTGCTGTGCTGGTAGTGAGAATTTCAAGCCAGTGGATCTTAGCTTGCTGGACTCCATAGGGGTGGGATCTGCTGAGCTAGACCACTTGGCTCCCTGACTTCAGCCCCCTTTCCAAGGGAGTGAATGGTTCTGTCTTGCTGGTGTTACAGGTGCCACCGGGGTATGAAAAAATACTCCTGCAGCTAGCTTGGTGTCTGCCTAAACAGCCACCCAGTTTTGTGCTTGAAACCCAGGGCCCTGGTGGCATAGGCACTGGAGGGAATCTCCTGGTCTAAAGGTTGCAAAGACCGTGGGAAAAGTGTAGTATCTGGGCCAGAATGCACCATTCCTCACAGCACAGTCCCTCACGGCTTCCCTTGGCTATGGGAGGGAGTTTTCTGACCTCTTGCACTTCCTGGGTGAGGTGATGCCCCACCCTGCTTCGGCTCGCCCCAAGTGGGCTGCACCCACTGTCTAACCAGTCCCCATGAGATGAGCTGTGTACCTCGGTTGGAAATGCAGAAATCACCCACGTTCTGCGTTGATCTAGCTGGGTGCTGCAGACCATAGCTGTTCCTATTCAGCTATCTTGCCAGCCTCTCTTGAAAAGAGCTACATTTTTATAGTCATGTGTCACTTAGCGACGGGGATACGTTCTGAGAGATGCTTCAAGGTGATTTTGTTGTTGTGCAAACATCATGGACTTTATTTAAACCTAAATGATATAGCCTGCTACACACCTAGGCTATATGGTTTAGTCTATTGCTCTTAGCAACAAACATGTGCAGCATGTTACTGTACTGAATACTGTTGGCAGTTGTATCACGATGGTAAGTATTTGTATAGTTTAATATATCTAAACATAGAAGAGGTACAGTAAAATTACTGTATGGTATTATAATCTTATGGGACCACCCTCATTTTTGTGGTCTATTGTCAGCCAAAACCTCTTTATGCTGCATGCCTCATGTGACTGTATTTGATTTATGTATTTTGTTTTTTTGTGCTGTGGCTTCATGAATGACCTGCCTGTGTATTTACTTTTAGGTCCATTGAGTGACATATATTCGTTTTCAGGATAACATAAAATTATTTTCATTTTATTCAGCCTCACTTTTCTCAACCATAAATTTAGGGCTGTCTCATATCACCAAAGGTTCTTCTGTGACTAAAATTCTGTATTGTGATTATGGATAAATGAGTCTTTCAGGATTCAGAATCACCTCAGAAGACAATACTGTAGAGAAATCAAGTATATTTAATCATACAACTCATGTGTAATCCTTTTAGAGAATATTTTGATGATTTTAGATCAATTTAGTAATGCAAAGTTGGACAAACAGAAAGCAGCTGCCCAAAGATGAAAACTCAGCCTAGAATAACTGATATTTCTAATCAGGGGTATAAATGAAATATGAGAAATATGAAATTTTCTTTCATAAAAATGAATTCATATTGCTTACTATATATTTGGAATTAGAATAGCAATCTCAAATGCTCTGCTGAAGGGAAATTTAAAAATTAACACAACACATTTTATTAATATATTGTTCATGTAATTGCATATATTAACATGTAATCTAGGTAAGTTTTATTAGAAATCGTGTGATGGAATAAATATTAGGTAACATTTTAGGGCTAGAGGAAATAATGTGTGTTCACTTGGCTGAATAGAATGTGGAGCATAAGTGGGGAAGTTTTTGAAAAAGTGCTTTTTATGAAGTTTAAAGTTCTTAGAATGTGCATATGTTTTACTCTATTATGCTTGTTACGTAAAGAACATCCTATTTAATACATACAAACAAATTCCATAGACAGATGTTCCCTGGTGACAGAAATTAAACACCTACAGAAGTTGTTTGTAGCAGGGCTGCATTGACATAATAGCCCTCTTTGAGTGGAGCCTAAAGCAGGAAGATAGCTTAACTGATTGAACCTTGTGGTTTCACTCTTTAGACCTGCTTGGACAAACAAGGAGGTCAGTGTGAAAAGTCTATTTGCAGATTGGTCTCAGAAGAAATTCTCAGAAGTGATTTTTTTTTAAAGCCAAGGAAAATAGAACTCCTGTTTTTGGTGCATATGTCACAGCTGAGCCTTTCTGTTTGAAGAGCTTCATTTAATAATTTTTGCCTTTTGGAGTGTAGGTGCTAGACTATATCCTAGACACTGTAGCATTGATAAATGTTAACATACAGAGGCCGCGTATATTCTTTGCACCAAATACTTTCCTTGTTCACACTGTTCTGTCACAAATCTTTTTCACAGGGTGAGGAAGTGTTTTATGGGAGGCCAAGCTACTTTTTAAAAGATGGTATGAAAACATGAATTGAAATGTATTATTGTTATTGTTATTATTGTTGTGTAGTAAGTCCTAACTTAATGGAAATTTTTGTGTTCTGGAACTGTAAGCAAGTTTTGAGTCCATTGGAAGTAGACCAGATTTTGATTTATAAAAAATATTTGGAAAAACAATTAGAGAAATTGTGATTGAGATAATTGATTCCAGGCAATAGCTTATGATGTTAAAATTCTGTGCAATTACATAGAATGTATATTAAAATATTGCTCAACTGTTTAACCATCAGTGAATGAAGGGAGCCCAGAAGGTCTGTTTAGTCTTAAGTAATTACAGAAGACAACTTGTGTGTTGTAAAGTGATTTTTCCACTTAATAACTTTGGTAAAGAACTATTAGGGATAGGAGACTTATATCATGCTACTGCTGGAATTATTGTAATTAATTTTTAAATGGGAATTTTATCTAATAAATCCCAGGGAAGAAAATTTTATTTTGAAGCATGTCTTTCCTATCACACTCATTATTGGCTTTTTGGAAAATTATTTTAGACATGTGTTTGATTTCATATTTCTGATGCATATCTTAGTGAATCAAAACTGACATACATTGCCGTTTTAGTTGGCATTTACTTTACTAAATGATTGGTACATTTACTAAGTTTACATGTTATTGTTTTAAAGCGACAGCAGGCTTAACTTGAGCATCATGGCTGTTGCAGGTACTAGGGCTCTCGCCTTTGCAGTAGGATGAATATGGTAATGACAGTGCAAGAGAGATTCCAAAGACGTATATCTCATCGCTAACTCTATTTTAGCCCTTTGAGCTCGTCCTTTAGTTAGAATTTTAAGTTTCTCTAGGGTACTTCTTAGGCTTCTTTTGCTGTGCACAGTGCCCTCTCTTAATTAACAGCAGAGTAATATTGGGCAAATGTCTGAGAGCATCAATATCCTCATCTGTGAAATAGTGTTAATAACATATATCACAGTGTAGCTGGTCAGATCCAAATGAGAAATATTTAGAAAGATTTTTAATAAGTAAACAAGTGTTTAGTAAAACACTTTTTAAAAACATCTTTCAAATGTTATCTTAGTTCACTTTAATTAGCAAGTTGAATCAAACTGACAGTCTCTTTGGCATTTGGTGGTGTTCTAGATAGCCAGTAGTTACTATTCCGTTAAGTTCCTCTGAGACTGTAGAGAAAAACTGTACATTTTGATATGTTTTGTTGAAAAACATTTTTGTAATCTTTTAATTTTTTTTTTAATTTTGCACAGATTGAGATCAGGGAAAGAGACTGACATATACTTTTAGATGTCTGATTTCCTAGAGGCAAATATTTTGGACTGAGTTTTCCTGTCCAAGTGTTAGCTCTGAAGTTCTTACCATTATAATGACAACAAAGAAAAAAGAGGTGGTAACCCCAAAAAGAACAGGGAGCAACGTTGCCTACCTACATGCATAAAGCTGCCAGTAATTTGATCGACTCAACCAAAGAGATAGAAAAATTTGAAGTCAGATCCACTAAATCTCTTACTCTTCCTTTAGAAGGCATAAAGTATATTTCACCCACATAGCGTTTACCCAAGGGTGATATTCCAAATATTTAACAACCTATGTGGCATAGGCACCAAGGATTCAGGACTGGAACAGCATACTGGGCCTGCCCTTTCCTCCTGGGGTTTCGCTCTTTAGTTGTGGAGTTGTGGGGAATATAGGGCAGGTGGCTTATTCAGGGATTCTGGGAGAGGAGACTGGGAACCTCGTGTGGGAAAGGGGTAGTTGGGCCCTCTATTAAACAGCAGCTGATGGCCAAGTAGGGCAGAAACCCATGTGTGACTATTGAATATCAACCTTGCGTTTACCTGAATGTGTCTACCCAAAACTGGATTCATAATACTGGTTTTCAATTTTGTCTTATGGAAACTTGTTCTTCCTTTTGTTTACTTTAATCAGTTGTAGGAGATAGTTGAAGGAATAACTTAATATAACATTTAATTCCTAACGTTGGCAGCTGAATGTATAACTTAGATGTAACATTAAATTTCTAACATTTTTAGGAAGGTATACAGAAAGCGTTACCTCTAATAAGTAAAAATATAAGTTCTGGGAAAATTATTTAAAGAAACCCTATTTGGAATCCTTTCATAAAGTGATAATTTTAATTTATCTTGGGCATAATATTGGATCTTTAATAAAATCTTTGCTGTAAAATCAGTATTATAGAAACTGGCTAGGCACAGTGGCTAATGCCTGTAATCCGAGTACTTTAGGAGTTTCAGGTGGGTGGGATCACCTTAGGTCAGGAGTTCAAGACCAGCCTGACCAACATGGTGAAATGCCGTTTCTACTAAAAATATCAAAATTAACTAGGCCTGATGGTGTACACCTGTAATCCCAGGTACTCAGGAGGCTGAGGCAGACGAATCACTTGAACCTGGGAGGCGGAGGCTGCAGTGAGCTAAGATTGCATCACTGCACTGCAGCCTGGGCAAGAGAGTGAGATTTGGTGATTCAGTTTCAAAAAAAAAAAAAAAAGAAAAGTCAATATAGAACCTTAAATAGTATATAGTTTTTGAAGGACTAATTCATATGTAATTATGGAAATGGGAAGATAACCTTAAATTATTTCAACTAGACTGGTCCAAGTCATCTGTAGTCAGTCAGTCAGTCACTCAGCTAGTAAATGCCTGAGGCAAAACCTCGGATTTCTGTTTCCTATTATTTCTACTGTACCCTATCTGTATTCAGAAGTGATGGTCTATTTTATAATCTGTCTGCTTCAAATCACTTTGGCAACCATTATGATATATAGCCTTTTGAGATATGTAGCATGGATTTTATTGTTTCTGTTTGAAATTTGGGGAAACTGAGTCCCAGAATTTCCTGGTTTTAGGTCTTATTTCACTTGTCATGCTGGTGGATGTCAAAGATGCAGTTTATCACCATTCCTGTGTAGCTAGCCAAAGGTATCCATCCGTGCTTCTCTTGGTTGCATAAAATTATGGTGAGAGTTAGTAGATGGTGCAGGTTCATGGACGATTTCTCAAAATGCATTTTATGAAAACATGTCACAGAGAGAGAAAACTTGATACTTGTGTTTTTACTAAGACATAATCTTTTTTTTTTTAAATTGAATGAGAAACTGAGATCTAGAGGAGCAAGCTCACTATTCAGGAAGATTTACTCATCAAACTAAGGGTAGGAATAGTAAAACTAATTGAATCATTTCCCCCAAATCTACCCTTATCTAAAGCTTATTTCTTCAGCTTTAGCTGGTCAATTTCTAGACCAATGCCCCCACTTCCCTGTAACCTTCTCTGGCAAAAGCAATATATCTTATTATATTCTACCCCACAATGGTGAGTCTGACTCTAGAACAACAAAATGGGGAAAATCTGAATCTAGAAGTTCCATTTTTCAGGAGAATCTTTATTTTGGGCTATATAGCCTGTGTTGTCTGGAAAATTGTCACTGAGTTCTTTTAGTACAATTAAGACAGTCTGCTATATTACAAAATATATACAAAAGTGTGTAAAACTGTCTTATATTGTGTATAATTACGAGTAATTATAAAATAAACACCTGTGTAAACCACCTCCTACATTAAGAAGTAGAATATTGTCTTCACCTCAGAAGTCTCTAATTCTTAGAGGTAACCACTGTTCCTGATTTAACAGTAATCATTCTGTTACCTTTAAAATAATATTATTTAATGCATTCCTAAATAGTAGTAGTATACCTTACTCTTTAATTTTTAATTTTTTAATTTTTTTATTTTGAGACAGAGTCTTGCTCTGTCGCCTGGGCTGGAGTGTAGTGGCATGCTGTTGGCTCACTGCAAACTCTGCCTCCTGGATTCACGCCATTCTCTTGCCTCAGCCTCCCGAGTAGCTGGAACTACAGGCACCCGCCACCATGCCTGGCTAATTTTTTTTTTTTTTTTTTTTTTTTAGTAGAGACGGGTTTTCACCGTGTTAGCCAGGATGGTCTCGATCTCCTGACCTCGTGATCCGCCCGCCTTGGCCTCCCAAAGTGCTGGGATTACAGGCATGAGCCACCGCTCCTGGCCTAATTTTTTATTTTTAAGTATGTGTTCAAGTCCTTTGTCTATTTTTCATTCTAGTGAGCTATCTTTTCTTATCAGTTTGTACAATTTATATATGTAGTTTGACTGGAAACCTAATTGCTTCTATGGGTCACAGTGTCCTGTCTCATTCTGCACCATGTCTTTTCACTCTTCATTATGTTTTCTGTTGAGCAAAAGTTTTTTTTCAATTTAGCCAAATTTATCAGTTATTTCCTTGATGGTTAGTGCTTTTTGTGTGTCATTTTAGAAATCTTTCCCACCTCAAGGTCATGAAGATTTTTCTCCTGTATCCTAAAAGTTTTATATTTTGCTTGTGTTCACATTAAGTCCTGAAAACTTACCTGAAGTTGATTTTTGTGTGTGTCAGAGAAGGATCCAATTCCATTTTTTTTTCCATATGGACATCTAGTGGTCTCAATATTGTCATTGAAAAGTCTGTCCTTTTTCTGCTTCTATGAAGTGTGCCAGTTTTGTCTTAAATCAATGATTCATATATGTATGGGTCTGTTTCTAGGTTTTTCTGGTCTGTCCCATTTGTCTTTTGTTTTTGTGATGCTATATACCAATGCTGCACTATCTTCATTGCTATTTATTTATAATAAATATTCATATCTCATAAAGTTCTTACACATTGTTCTTCAAAATTGCCTTGTTTTTTATTCTTGGCCTTTTGCGTTTGCATATAAATTTGAGAATCAGTCAGTTTCCACAGAAACTTTTTTGTGAATTTAGACTGGGATAACATTTAGTCCATGGTAATTTGGAGAAAACTGTCATCTTTATATTTACTCTTCAATCCATATAAATAGTGTATATTTTCATTTATCCAGGTCTTTTTAAATGTCTCAATAACATTTTATGAAGTTATCTTTAGAGATTTTTGTATGTCCTTTGCTAGCTGTAGTCCCATTTAGCAAGATTTCTGGTATACAAGATTAAAATAAAAATTAGTTATATCTATATAATATCAATAAACATAATAACATTTTTAAAATACAGCATTAATTAAAAAAATATTCTAAGCAATACAATAGCATTTATTCTAAATATATTTAAAATTAAGGTGTAAATTTCTCACACATCGTGTTTTGTCCTTTGTTTCTTTTTTGAGACTACAACCTCTGCCTCCCAGGTTCAGGTGATTCTCATGCCTCAGCCTCCCGAATAGCTGGAATTACAGCCAGCTAATTTTCACATTTTTAGTAGACACAGGGTTTCACCACGTTGGTCCAGCTGGTCTCGAACTCCTGACTTCAATTGGTCTGCCAGCCTCAGCCTCCCAAAGTGCAGGGATTACAGGCATGAGCCACCACACCCGGTCGTATTTTGTCCTTTGAACTCTAAAAGTTTATGGTATTTGAGTCTACAAATACAGTAGTGCTGCATTTACCAATTATTTGTACATTTGTATCAATTATTCAGAATTATGGAATATTCTAGTTTGAGAAGTAAGAGATACTTGATTTTATAGTGTTAATAGCAAGAAAAAATGCTTTACTTTCTTGCCTATATTTTTGTTTAATCTTTTTAACAACCTTAAGAGTAGAGCATTATGATTTCTGTTCTATAGCAGATGAGACCTAAATGCAGGGATGTTAATTAATTTGCACAATATCACAGGGCTAGAAAGTTGTGAGTACCATGATCTGAACCAGGCTGTGTTTAACACCAACATCCATGATGTTTTCACTATAATATTTTGCCACATATCAATAACTCCTGAGCTCAGTGCAGTATTTCAGCATGGGGATGGTAATTGATTATGATAATGAGAAATCTGAAGCATCAAAAGACTAATTAATATTCAGTTTATTCTGTTTTATTAGGCGTAAAAGAGGGTACTACATTTTTCAGATTTCTATTCAAAACATTAAAATCAAAGTTTAAGCCTGCTGAGCTTCAATTAATGATTCAAATTAATTAAAAATATTTTTCCTATAGTAAAGAGAACATATAATGCATGAATGTAGTACTCATTAATGCTATATATTTGTTAAAATAGAAAAATGTTTTATATTTAAATACTCCACATTGTACATAGAGCCCAATTTTTTAGCATAGGAAAAAATGTGAAATTTTAGCTTATATTTATATATCTTTTCTCCTTCTGTCAGTGACTGCCACCTTGCCAAATCTGTGGGAGTTTTATGATCTGTTATCCTCTGAGATCTGTGGATTCATTTAACATTTTGCTGTGATTTTATTGGTTTTGGAATCAAGAACCAAAATCTGAATATAGTTCACTATTCATATAACAAGATTTAAGGATGTTTAGTTTTTAAAAGTTCTTTTGGTCCATATTAGATTTATTTCTGTTTGACTAATAAGTAGATGGAGGAAAAAGAATCAAACACTGCATATGGTTTCTGGAGGTATGTTTTAATAACAAAATCAAGTCTGGTCAATGAAAGCTTTCAGAAAATGGTTTTATAAAAAAACCTTGCATTCTTTTTAGATCAAGAGCAGTTTTCCCCCAAACCTTAATGTCAGTCGTACGATTTTCTTCTTCTTATTTTCTGTTCTCCATTTTTGCTTATTTGTTGAAAACATTTTTTAGCTATGTGGAGACTTGCCTGAATGCTGTCTCCTATTTAGGTAGAGGCCAATAAGATGATAGCTGGAAAAGCTTCGATTGTCTATCATGAAGACCAGGATGGAATAAAAGAAAAATAAGTAATGCAGTTGTGATATTCTGCAGTATACTTCGGCTCTCTTAATAAGATCATGCTGTAAGCAGTGTCTTTTAACTGAAGCTTGCAACCTGTTGGTGGGTCATGAAGTAGATTTTAAACATTGCAATTAGCATTTTATTTAATGAATAGACATAGAATAGCATGGAAATTTAAGAGTGACTATAGACTTAAGAGAATTGTAAATAGGACAAGTAAAATAGAAAAATTAATGTATCACACATAAAAAGGGGATTTTCATGAAACTTTAGTATTAGTTCCACAGACACACAGATACATCAAATAGCGTGTGAGTCAGGATTTAGTCCAGGAAACAAAAATTACATTTATTTAAAACAGGAAGATATTTAATACAAGAGAATTTGATGCTTATAAAATAGTTGGAAGATCTAAGATATGAGTTCTAGGCTGTTCTTGCTGGAATGACTTTAGGGAGTACAGAAATGATCCACCCAAGAGCCAGTTATAGCTAATATGGTTGCTGCAACTGTGTGTTATGAATATACTCCTCTTGCTGCAATCCAGTAATCAGGAAGCCAGAGTTACACTGCTAATGCTGTAGTCACAATTGCCTCTTGACACCCAGAAAATTGGAAAGTGCCACAAAAAGCACTGCTAACACCTTGCATTTCTTTATCTTTGTTTGCAGTTAAAACAGTCGAAAGGATGTAGGAAAATGGCTTCTGCTTCGCTTCTGTGTTCATTATCTTAGATGAATTGCTTCTAATTTGCAGAAGCGAATTCTCATCCAGAATTTGAACTGCAAGAGAAATGTTTTATTATTGACCTCTCCAGTGATCTAGACTGAGGGTAGGAGGGCAGATAAGAGAATCCATACACACTATCCAACTCAGTTCATCAATTTGATTTCTCACCACTCACACTCACTCTTCCATTCATGCTTAAGTTTCCAAATGGCAACACTAGTGGTGAAAACATGCTGCTGTCGTTCATACACAGGAAAAGTAGTTCACTTCTCCTCCAAAGTGAGTGAGAGCAAAGTCACTGTACCCAGTGGAGAGACTTTTCTATCCCATAGAGATACATACTGAAGTATTCGCATATTGTCTGGGATTTGCTTTAAAGTACTCTGGAAAAAAAAGAGGGGGAGGGAGAGATGAGACTTCATGGCAGAAATGTTGATAATTATTGAGAATCAATTATGAGCATATAGTGGTCCATTATTTTTCTCTGTTTTTGTATATGTTGGAAAATTTCCATTATTAGTAATGGAAATTTTATATATAAATGTATCTGCTTTTCTTTAACTGAAAAAAATTGAGATAACTATACAAAGAATATTGATTCTCCTTGTTTTCTGAAATTTTTAAATTAGTGATTACATTCATAAATATAAAGCATTGTCACTCTTGGCCTGTTATTTTAAAATGAAAATGTCACCTGGAGTTATGATAATAATTATTAGGACCACATGTGTTATGACCAAAAGTGATTTCATATCTATTTTAATGAATTAGGATTAGAGGAGTTAAATAATCAACTTAGTACATCTGAAAGGTTCATGGCTGAATCTTCTTACTCTAAATACCAGGTTTGCACTATTGTAATATCCTTAAGTTGCTCTCTATCATTAGCACCTTTGAATATGCTCTATTCATACATTTTCTTTCCTTAGCCCTTGTTGAGAATACAAATCTGAAAGAATGCTGTGTGTGTGCGTGCGCGCGTGTGTGTGTGCGTGCACACACGTGCACTTTAACACTGGATTAATATAAAAATTAGATATTGAGTCTCCCAGTTTCAGTTCTGACATTTTAAGATCAAGGAAGTTGTTAATCTTGGCTAGGTGTGGTGGCTCACACCTGTAATCCCAACACTTTGGGAGGCCAAGGCAGGAGGATTGTTTGAGCCCAGGAGTTTGAGACCAGCCTGGGCAATATAGGGAAACCTTGTTCTACAAAATAATTTAAAAAAAAAAAAAAAGCTAAGTGTGGTGGCAAGTGCCTGTAATCCCAGCTACTCAGAAGGCTGAGGTAGGAAGATTGCTTGAGCCCAGGAGTTTGAGGCTGTAGTGAGCTGTGATTGTGTCATTGCACTCCAGCCTGGGTGACAGAACAAGACCATGTCTTAAAAAAAAAAAAGACGTTATTATTCACATCGTTAGAACAAGAAAAAACTGGACAAACTGAAAAACTAGTGACTTTTCTTGGACCCTGAAGCAGATATTTGAGGTTACAGGGCAAACCCCCTCCCTGAAATCTGGAGACAGGTGCCTCCAGAGAGTCTCAGCCAAGATCTATTTACCTGGAGAAGAAGCTGCTAGAGTCATAAACTGGTAGGAACAGTTTAAATGGCAATTTTGATAAATTGCTGAAGACTAAGTATTCAGCAGGGTGTGACTTAGAAACTCCTACCTACCTCCCCACCAGTGTTCATGGGCTTTACCTATAAGGAACCCCACCAGTTTCTCACAGATGATCTGAGAATGATTCCCTCATGGCCCTGGTGGGAGAAGTGGACAAGTAATCATCCTAAAATGTACCCAGAGCCTTTTTTTAATAAAATGTCCACACTCCAGGGTGAAAGACTGTATCAGAGCCTTGTGCTGCAGCCATGGGAGTAGGATATTACTGCCTGGGCCCTGTAGCCTTCCTGCTTCACTGAAGGAATTGGAAAAAACAATTCATGAAAAAACTTGTAAAGGTCACAGGCTAGAGACAAAGACTCACTAAAAGACATTCTGTAATCTCTGATTAAACAGAGGTTTAGTATAATCAGAGATTATAGAATGCTACTCCTTGCCCCCATTTCACTATCACACTGGCACGTCTCCAGTTTAATAACAGCAGATGACAGCTGAAAGAACTTCAAGACACAAATTCCCTCCGAGGAAGAGTACTTAAAGAAACCCATAGTTAAAAGGGAAGATGAAAACAAGGGCACTGCAGAAATTTTATACCTCTAGCACCCTACAGCAAACGTTAGACAGCCCAACACATAGCCAGCAGAACATAAATCCTCATACCAAAAGCCCATGTACCTCATTCCTATTTCCCATTATAACATGTCCACTTTCAACAAAAACTTATAAGGCATGCCAAAGGCAAGAAAGAACACAGTCTGAAGAGACAAAGCCATCATCAGAGCCCTTATCATAGATGACACAGAGGTTGGAATTATAAGACAGGCAGTTTAAAATAACTGATTAATATATTAAGGACTCTAATTTAAGAAGTAGACAACATGCAAGCACAGATGGGCTATGTAAGAATGGAGTCGAAAACTCGAATAAAAAATTAAAAGGAGGCCAGGCACAGTGGCTTATGCCTGTAATCCAGCACTTTGGGAGGCTGAGGCAGGCAGATCACTTCAGGTCAGGAGTTCAAGACCAGGCTGGCCAACATGGTGAAACCCCGTCTCTACTTTTTAGTTGGGCTTGGTGGTGTGTGCCTATAATCCCAGCTACTCTGGAGGCTGAGGCAGGAGAATTGCTTGAATCTGGGAGGCAGAGGTTGCAGTGAGCCAAGATCATGCCACTGTACTCCAGCCTGGGCGACAGAGGGAGACTACATCTGAAAAAAAAAAAAAAGTATTAAAAGGAAATGCTATAAATCAAAGACACTGTAACAGAAATGAAGAATGCCTTCAGTGTATCAATAGACTTGATAAGGATGAGGAAAGAATAAATAAGTTTGAAAATAGGTCAATAGAAGCTTCCCAAATTGAAATGTAAGGGAAAAAAGGAATGAAGGAAAAAAAAATCAGAATAGAGCATCTAAGAACTGTGGATCAATTTTTAAAGGTGTGACATACCCATAATTGGAATAACAGGAGGAGAAAGAGATAAAGGAGAAAAATATTTGAAGTGATAATGGCTAACAACTTTCTAAAATTAATGACAGATAGAAACCCACAAACACAGGAAGCTCAGAGAATACCAGGTAGCATAAATATCAAAACAAACAAAAACCAAATACCAACAGCCCACACCTGAGCACATCATATTCAAACTGCCAAAAATCAAAGACGGAGAAGATCTTGAAATAAGAGAGACGGTGGAAGATACATCTATCCTATAGAGGAACGAGGATCAGAAAGGTGGATTTTGAAGCAAGGTTGCATATATTCTATGACATGTAATTGTACCTTCAATTTCACATAGATGTTTTAAACACCTACCATATAGCATGTTTTATGAAAGATAATACAGATAAATAAGACCTAATAACTTCTCTCTCTCCCCCAGTCAAATAACTAAAATCTAGTAGAAGAAAGTAAAAAAAGTGTATAAGTAAAAATATAACACAGATTTTAAAGTATCCTAGGGAGGTACCAAAAAAAAAAAGTGCTATAAGGGATTTAGAGGAGGAAAAGATAGCATGGCTGAGTCAGTAACGGCTCCATGCATGATGATGTTAAGGAGTTATTTTACTTATAAGCAGCCAGCATCCTTTGAGACCAGCCTGGGCAATATAGGGAAACCTTGTTTCTACAAAAAAAAATTAAAAATAATACAGGATATTATTTTAATAATAATAATACAGGATGTACTCCTGTTGCCCACAGGAGTTGACTCAGAACTTGACCTTTGTTATTTTCCTCTCGTTTCTTGAAATTTGTATCTTCTCCCTTACTCAGGTTATTTTGCTTTCTGTTTTACTGAGAAAATAGTGATCATAGAGAACTTAGGCCATCTTTATCTCCATCCTTTCCCTTGTGCCACATCTAGATTTCACTAGGCACTTTTCATTCTCTGAAGAAATTGTTTAATCTACTCTCGAATTTTAGTTACTGGCTTGTCTTGCATGATTATTTTGATGATCTGTTGAATTTTTTCCCCAATACTGCCCTCCCAGCATAATATGCATTCTCCATGAAAGAGATTAATCCTCTCTCTCCCTGCTGAAAATCCTCTACAGTTCTCACCTTGGCCTCCAGAATAAAATCTACCTCTTTAGCCTGTCTTTCAAGGGCCTTCTTATTCTGCCCCAAACTATAGTTTGTGATTTCTGAGAGGAGATATCCCATGAAATATTTTCCAAATTTATTTGACAGAAATATCCACTTTGTATCTCCTGGGTCTCTAATGTTTTGCAGAGTACAGTTTGGGAAATGCTGGGATTGAAGGAAGAACGTGAACATTTGGGAAAGGGAACAGGAGGGAAATGCATGACTAAGGTCATCTTAGTAGTAATGAGCATGGAGAATAGCCCAGCTGCATATGAGGTTATGACATACATTAGTAGACGAATCTCAAAATGCTGATTTCTTCTCCAAGGTTTTTAGAATGATCCCCTGCGTCTGTTTGTAATCTGCAGAGACTGTCATGCAGAAAAATAGGAGGAAAAACCTTTCCGCTCTGAATCTCAGGAGAAAAAAAGATTTTAATCATGTTTCTGGAAACTTGCATTGGTAGAATTTAAAGTCTTCCAGAGAGCTCAGTTTTATTTCATTTGTTATCATATTTCATCTTGACAATGTAAGTGTAGATTGTTTGACAAATTTAAGAAGAATGTGTTTTCATTTCTTATGCATTTTTGTGCAGCTTTTCTATAGCCTCCCTAAATACTATTTGTATTTATCCAATTGTCACTCTAAAATATGAATGTATACTTGTTAATGTTCCTATTGCAAAGGCTGTGCTTCGTTCAGTTTTCTTTTATTTGTAGTTTCTCGTAACTAGAAATCTCATGCTTTTCTGAAATAGGAATAATTGAATATTTATTGACATGTCCTTAAGGAGTACTATATCACTCTGAAGTGACTTATGGCACATCAAAAATATTAACTATACATTATTACTATACATTATTTTACTTATTATTATAATTTAAAATTTCATTATTTCCTGAAAATTTTTTCAGTGAGACTTCCAGAACCTGTGCTGGAAGGATAAATTTGAGATCTATTTGCACACTAGGTGGTGCAAATAGAAGTTACAACACTTTACATGGCACCTTTATTTAATCAGAGGTCAAAATACATGGCCAGTAATGTAGTACATCCTTGGGAACAGGACATTATTTGCTTCACTCACTGGTGGGGAGAGGGTCCTACCATCCATCTCGAGGCCCTTGGGCAATAGGTTTTACTTGGGAAGGTGATGTCAGGGAAGGCAGGTAGCCAGGTGTGCTTTTACTGCCCTCAGGGAGTTCCTAGTCTACTTGTGCATGAAATAGACCTATATGTAAGCATTTAAGATGATACCAAAAATATTCCGTTTTCCAGGAGGTGTGGAGTTGTGAGTAGACAAGGAAGAATAAGCATTTAAGGAATACGTGATACTCATGCATCATGTGCAGTGCAATGGGTCTTTTTCTGAAATTTTGTCTACACAACCTAAAATTCCTACTTATGCTACTATTTTTAAAAACTGATATGTTTTATTAGAAGAGTCAGATGACATGTCTGTTTAGAAGTAGAACTTTTTATATCAAATGAATTTAAGAATGCTATCTTATGACCTTGTTTTTGCATGAAGGCATCTATACCATTTTTCATCTCATCAAGTGAAAATACCAAATTTTGGTAAAGTTGTACTTCATTTATGATGCCTTGAAAAATAAACCATACACGTGATTCATTTATTACACATTTAGGCTGTTGATAGTGTGTCAGTTTTATTATGCAAAATAATATCTTTCTGTTCAACACACCTGCTCTTCACAGGTGTATATTAATGAGGACTTCATGATGTGTTGATCTAAAGTAAAACTTCTTGTCGATGTTGAATTTAGTCAATAGGTTATTTTTATGCTCAAGAAAAGGTGAAAGATATCATCAAGCTGACAAAATACAATGGTTTTTGTATCATCTACATGTTAAAATAAATTTCATGTTTTGAAATAATCCACACATTGAAATAAACAGAGTTTAGCTGATGACTCTCACTTTGAAATTTTATTTTTCTGGTACATCTAAAAGTATATTTTTGTTAAAAAAAAAAGTCCCTTTAAGACAGATTTTAGGTACTCCATTTGCTACACAATTTCATTAACTTAGAACCATATTTTTAAAATGTTTTCTCCACACAAGTAAGATACATATGGAAAATTTGCTACTATGCAGTCCCTGTAGCATATATAAAAAATGAGGCTGCTAAATTAGGTCTTTTCTTCTTTACCTTCTTTAAACCTACGTTATTCTTTTGTGATATTTCCATCACTTAAGGGAATGAGATTTCAAATTAAATTCTAGAGAGACTTAAATTCCCCTTGAGTTTTCTTTTACTTGAGGTATGCCTATGCTATGGGGTAATTAGTGGTACCTCAGTAGGATAATATAAGCAGAGTGGTAAGACATATCTGCCTTGAATAACTGTGTGAGAAAAAACAGGCACATTTCACTAAATACCCTTGCTTGTGCTTTCTATAAAATTAAAATATTTTGGACAGTAATAACATACAACACAAATGAATAAAAACTTGTACATGATGTTTTGTGTGGAGTCCTGATAAGTAAGCAACAAGGAGGAAGGGCCCCAGATGGGGAAGAACAGTGAACAACTGTTCTGAGAGATGGCTAATCACAAACAACACAAGGGCACAGTGATCTCGACCTACTTCTGCAGGCACAGTGACCTTGTTCTCCAGGTACCCCCTCTAGCATGACCCTGTAAAACTTCCCTCCAGCCCCTGCATCTTTGCGGACAGCCCCCTTCTCTGCTGTGCTGCCTGTCTTACAACATATTTTCATACTTTCTCTAATAAATCTGCTTTTCTTTATCTACTATTGTCTTGTTAAATTTCCTTACTGCCTGTGCCACCGGGCCCAGATAGTCACTAGCTGGCAACATTTAGGGAATTCTAACATCAAATTCCTCTAACGATAAACTGTTAAAACATCATCTCTAGACCCAGTCTTAACTTTCCTCTTACTGGCTACTCCATGCCATTTGTTTTGTACTCTGATTCTTCCAGTTCTGTCCTGAAATACCTAAGCCTCTTGTTCATTAATTTTCTTAGGGTTTAAAGTACATTAATATCAGAAATAAGATTAGTGGATCACTCCTTAGTTTGATCAAGATTTAAATCCTTCTTATTGCAGAAGCACAACAATACATTGGAGACTGCTTCAAAACTCAACTGAAAAAGAGAAAAATCAAAAGAAGCCTTAGGCTAGGTGAACAGGAAATGAGGCAGTTACAGTGTTTTAGTTGTTTGTCCTTTATTTCTGGAGGGGGTCTGCCAGTGGCTGTTCTAACTGCTCCCTCTTGCCTCAGATCTTGAAAGCCACACTTTATCCATCATTCTCACCTATTTACTAAAAAGAATGAGCCACCTGAAGGGACTTCCCTCTACTTTCTCCTCCTCTACCTTAACTGTGGCTCTTTATACTCTTTTCCTCCTGTGTTTCCTCTGCTTTATGTAAGTAATTGAAGTTTAAAAGAAAAAAAATATGAACATTTTTGCCCATGCAGTATCATTTGCAAGATCAGGAATATTATCTCAAGTTTCTAACTTGAAAGGGTCTAATGAGTCTAAAAGAGAAAAAAGCTGAAAATGTCTTGAAAAGTAAGGGACTATACAATCAATAAGCTGATATTATTAACTATTTTTTTCAGGATTTTTTTTTTTTTTTTTGAGACAGTCTTGCTCTGTCATGCAGGCTGGAGTTAAGTGACACAATCAAACCTCACTGCAGCCTCAAACTCCTGGGCTCAAGCAGTTCTTCCAACTCTGCCTCCCAAAGTGTTGAGATTACAGGTGTGAGCCACCACACCCAGCTAATTAAATATATATATATATATAATATATATATATTTTTTTGTAGAGATGGAGGTGTCTCACTGTGTGGTCCAACCTGGTCTGGAATGCCTGCGCTCAAGTGGTCCTCCCTCCTCAGCCTCTCAAAGTGCTGGGATTTACAGAGTGAGCCACTGTGCCTGACCTCAGTCTTTGATTTTGACATAGTTTGACCCAGTTTTTGTTAGTGGAATAGGTTTGGTTTTAAAAATTTAAGTGGTTTCAGTAAAGGGCAATAAAAATGATGAAAATAATAGAAAATGGGTTCTAGGACTAGAGTTGAAAAGGCTTGGGTCTTCATTTTGTCCTTAGAAAATTAGGTAAGATGATTGACTCCTTTTAACTCCTTCAAGCATGTGAAATAATATATTTGTTAGTGGTGGCAAATATCCGAGTTACTGGCAGCAAAGCTATACGAATCTATGGCAACCTCAATTCTTGCTTCCTAAGAAGAAATAATTCGACCGAGGGGCATGCAGTGGAAAAAGAGACCAAGGCAAGTTTCCGAGCAGGAATGGAAGTTTATTAAAATGCTTTAGAGCAGGAAACAAAGGAAAGTACACTTGGAAGAGACCTAAACGGGCACTTTGGAGGTCAATGGTGGCGTATGACCTTTTGATTTGGAGTTTTATATGTTGGCATCCTTACAGGGCCTTGTTTACCTTTTCCCATCTCTTAGGGTGGGCTGCCCGCATGCGCAGTGGCCTGCTAACCCTTGGGAGGTGAGCATGCGCAGTGTGTTTAAGAAGTTGTACACATGCTCACTTGAGGCTTTCTTCCCTTTTTCAGTGGAATGCCCCTGGAAGGTCATACTCTGCCATTTTGTCTCTTAATGCACATGCCCAAGCCTACTTGCCCAATTCCTGAGCTGCCAGTTACCAATTTCAAGTGTTTTTATCTATTGTGAAATTGCCTCTTTTTGGCGCCTGTGACCAATGATCATTTTTAGAGAAGTGGTGTGTCAACTGTGGGACCATCACCTGATGGTTGCCTGACATTTCTAGTGGGCGAGGGGAGCCCTCTTCTGCCCTGCTCATGCCTAACTACCTACTGTATGGTTGCCTGACATTTCTAGTAGGCGAGGGGAGCCCTCTTCTGCCCTGCTCATGCCTAACTACCTACTGTAATATATTGATGCAACAAAAATCAAATGGAGAAAATGGGCTTATAATGGAGCAACAGAAAATAGTTAATTATAATTTCTGAATTTAACGGGTTATTAAACACATACCAGGCTACTAAAGAAGGCTGTATAATTATCAGTGTTGAGTATCATTAAGATTAGGTAGTATTTCTTTTCTTTTGTATAATTATCAGTGTTGAGTATCATTAAGATTAGGTAGTATTTCTTTTCTTTTTTTTTTTTTTTTGAGACAGAGTCTCGCTCTGCCGCCCAGGCTGGAGTGCAATGGCACAATCTCGGTTCCCTGCAACCTCTGACTCCTGGGTTCAAGCAATTCTCCTGCCTCAGCCTCCCGAGTAGCTGGGATTACAGGAGTATGTGCCACCACGCCTGGCTAATTTTTGTATTTTTAGTACAGATGGGGTTTCACCATGTTGACAGGCTGGTCCTGAACTTCAAGTTCTTGGTCTTGGACTTCAAGTGATCCATCTGCCTCAGTCTACCAAAAGGCTGTGATTACCAGCATGAGCCACCATACCTGGTCAAGATTAGGTAGTATTTCTATTAAATGTTTCAGATATTGTATTTTCTAAAAGCAGATAACCCGATGGCCTTTGGCATTGCCTAAAACCTTTTGGACTCTGCTATTTGATAACACGGAATTGTGGAATATCATATGAAACTCTTATTTTTCTCTTCTGTTGTATTTAAATTCTTTCTTAATATGCACATTTTCTAAGAAGATACTTTTTAAGAGAGAAAAGATAGAGGCCTGCATGGGTAATACTTGGATTGAGCCCAGGGAATTCTCTGTCATGCATTTTAGCTATGGGGACATCAGCTGCTACTTATTTGCTACTGATTTCTCACTTCCTTCTTTTTCATACCAGCTTTCAATTGCTTGTTTCTAAACAATGCGTTATCTTTGATTAAATTAGACCAGTAATAAAAGCTCGTGAATCCTTGAATGAAAAGCACACATTCTGGTCTTCTTGACCCTGCATTCCAAAATTATTCTCTAATGTTTATAACCACCTTGGTAGATAAAGTCTTCTTTTTCCTTCTCAGAGAAACGGTTTGCAGCCAACTGTGACCACTAAGCTAAATCTATTGCGGTGTTTGTAATTGAAAGCTTTTTGTATGTCTTGGTTGTGGTGCTGGGCTCTCTCCTGGATTTGTTGATTTCAACAATGGAGTAATTCAGGAGAACAGAGAGGGACCAGTTAGAGCTCTCCAGGTTCTGTGTAACACACACCATAGTTGGCAGCAGCTGAGATTTGCTTCATATTTATCTCTAAGGGCGTTGTGGTGGTTCCAGCCCCAAGATTAAAGTCAGCATGTCATCTCTTTTTATTATTTCGAATGGCTTTTTACTTTTATAGTATACATGAATAAATTTTATCAGCAGGGACTATTAAGCAGTGTTTCGGCACAAATGCTTTAGAGTACATTTTTTAGTTGATGTGTACTATGCCAGTTATAGAGAGCTGTCAATACAGTTTCAGTCTTCAGTGACAAAATCTATCATTTTCTAACTTGCTAGAAACCTTTCTTTTTAGAAATTCACTTTTTGAGACATAATGGCTTCAATTCTCCAGGATCTTTTTCTGTCTGTTTTGAATGAGCTTATTGTTTATTCACAGTAAAGAATGTTTCTGATACTGCTTTGTTGTAAATATAGTTGAGTGCCCTAGCTGACATCCTTGTTGAGCCCAAAAAGACTGTTTGAGTACACTTTTTGTCAGGTGGTACCTTTGCTGAAACTGAAGAAGGAGATTTTGAAGAATTTTCTTGATTTCACCAGATTATTTTAATGGCCTTAAATTTTCCATTTAAATTTGCAATAACTTTTGCCAGTTATAGAGAGTGATTCATTGGGGACCACTTTATCTTTTGCATTGTGGTATGAGGCACAGATGTAAAGGGGACACATTCTTGGGGTAGCTTTTTCTATTAGGCCTTTGCAGTTGGAAGTACTCCATATAGAAAGTGTTTGAAGTTTTTACAAAAATGTATGCTGTAGGCTGAACAGATAGAACAAACTATAAGTATAAAAACATGCTGGTTAATAAATCTTTCCTGTTTTTCCTTAGACAGAATTCAGTTTTATTTGTATTATTAAACAAGAGTAAGACTTTAATTATACTTTCCCAAGTAGAATATTTATTTTAAAAAGGAATAGCTGTTAACAGAATAAGAAAACTTCATTATATTTTTAATTACTCATCTAATTTTATGTAAAATGAAATGTACATTAAATGGTAGTACATAAAGTCCAGCATAAAACTGCCTATAGTACAAATGTTGATATTTATTTCTTGTTCACTAGGATGACAAAAATTGAGAGCATTTTCTCCTTAATAGTTAGCATCTATTAAGTCTAATTTATGGCTTCTTGTAATTCATTCATTTATCATTTTTAAGTATTCATTCAACAAAAAGTTACATAACAAAGTTTTAAGATAAACAGGATCAGATCATACTTAGCCTCAAAGAAGTAATCTGAGAAGTTTGGATATGAAAGATAAGGAAATACTATATGATGAGTACAATAATAGAAATATTATTATAGCAGTGTCTTGGAAGAGCAAGTAATTGGCTTGAGTAGTTAAGGGTAAATTTTCTGGAGAAATTAACGTATATACTGGTATTTTTTTTTAACCATGACAGCGTTTTGTTGTTGTTGTTGTTGTTGTTGTTGTTGTTGTTTTGAGACAGAGTCTCATTCTGTTGCCCAGGCTGGAGTGCAGTGGCGCGATCTTGGCTCACTGCAGCCTTCGCCTCCTGGGTTCAATCTATTCTCCTGCCTCAACCTCCCAAGTAGCTGGGATTACAGGTGCCTGCCACCACGCCGAGCTAATTTTTTGTATTTTTTTTAGTAGAAACGGGGTTTCACTATGCCGGTCAGGCTGGTCTCAAACTCCTGACCTTGTGATCTGCGCACCTCAGCCTCCGAAAGTGCTGGGATTACAGGTGTGAGCCACCATGCCCGGCCCTATGACAGCTATTATTTTTAATTACTGTGTTTTTATTGATATAACCATTTATATAAGTGTATCTGTTATTTGAAATTATTTCAGTTATATCTATAAATTTACAAATACTGAGAAGTAAAAATGACTTGGGCATTTCAAAATCATGTTCTACAATGTATTGAACAGTTGAAAAATAAAGCAAAAGAGAATAAAACAAACACAAACAAGCACAGGGAGAAGTCTGGTCAGACCCTGGGCTATCATGCTTCTGTTTGTGTGACCACTGGGTGCTTGGTTGTAGCATCCCAAACCCACACCATGCCGGAAAGAGATATGCATAGGAGTATGTAGAAGGTCACATGTGGAATAAACTTCATCAACAGTCACTTCCAGGCTCCATATATTAAAATTTCAGGGATTAAGATCAGAAGGAATTGTTCCAATTTGTTTATTTTGGAGAAGAAAGGTCAATTTTTACCTCCAGGGGATAAACCACTAATTTGCGAAGAGATTGGGTTAAAAAAAGAGGACCCCACCTACTTTTAAAAATAGGCTTTACTTTTTAGAGCAGTTTTAGGTTCATAGTAAGATTGAGTGGAAAGTAAAGAGAGGCTCCATACATACCCTGGCTCCTTCCCAGCCTCTCCTACTGTTAAGATCCTGCCTTACTGTGGTACATTTGTTTCAATCAGTGACACTACTTTGACACATCATTATCACCTAAAGTCCATAGTTTACATTGGGGTTCACTGTTAGTGTTGTATTTTTCATGGGTTTTGATATATGTATAATGACATATATCCACATCATGCACTGTGGTATTATTTTCTGGCCTTAAAAATCCACTGTGCTCTGCCAATTAATCCCTTCCTCCTGCCAATTGCTAATGTTTTTACTGTCTCCCTACATTTTGCCCTTTTCAGAATGTACTATAGTTGGAATTTTGTAGTATACAACCTTTCCAGATTGACTTCTTTCACTTAAAATGCATCTCAGTTTCCTCCCTGTCTTTTCATGGCTTGATAGATCATTTCTTTTTAGCTCTGAATAGTATTCCATTTTCTGAGTATACCACAGTTTATCCATTCACCTGTGGGTGCTTTCAAGTTTTGACAGTTATGAATAAGCTGGTATAAACATCTGTGTGCAGATTTTTGTGTGCACATAATTTTTCAGTTCATCTGGATAAATACCAAGGAGTGTGATTGCTGGATTGTATGGTTAGAGTATATTTAGTTTTGTACAAAATTGCCAAACTGTCTTCCAAAGTGGCTGTACCAGCAATGATGAGAGCTCCTGTTGTATCACGTCCTTAGCAGCATTCGGTATTGTTAGTATTTTGGATTTTGGCTATTCTAATACATGTAGTGGGTATCATGTTGTTGTTTTAATTTGCAGTTCCCTAATGACATATGTGGAGCATCTTTTCATCTACTTATTTACCATGTGTATATCTTCATTGGTGGGATATATCTGTTTAATCAAATTGATTGTTTTGTTATTGTTGGCTTTTAAGAATTTTTAAATTACTTTAGATAATACTCCTTTATCTGATACCTCTTGTGATAGGCATATCTGAAGGATGTGTTGCCATCCTTCAAGATAAGAAATATAAACAAGAGGCTGGGCTTGGTGGCTCACACCTATAATCCCAGCACTTTGGGAGTCTGAGGCAGGTGGATCACTTGAGGTCAAGAGTTCCAAACCAGCCTGACCAATGTGGTGATACCCTGTCTCTAATAAAAATGCAAAATTAGCTGGGCGTGGTGATGCATGCCTGTAATTCCAGCTACATGGGAGGCGAGGCAGGAGAATCGCTTGAACCTGGGAGGTGGAGGTTGCAGTGAGCCAAGATTGTGCCATTGCACTCCACCCTGGGCAACAAGAGTTAAACTCCATCTCAAAAGAAATAAATACAAGCAAGAAAGCAGGCTATAGGAGAAGATAGTTTCATTATAAGTGTGTTGAATTTAAGGCATTTTAATTTTATAAGTAGGTAAGGATATAGACATTTTTAAGCATTTATATCATAGAATTTTATAATATTGCATCATTAAATTTTCTTCTTCCTGCTGGATGTCTCTAAATGGGGGTCCCATCAGTGCCAAACTTGTTTACTGGCACAAGTAAATTTTAATAAGTCCAGCTTATCAATTCTTTCTTTCATGGTTTGTGCATTTGTGTTATATCTAAAAAGTCATCACTATCCAGAGTTATCTAGATTTTCTCCTACATTGTCTTCTAGGAGTTTTATAGTTTTGCATCTTACATTTTTACATTTAAGTCTGTGATTCATTTTTAGTTAATTCTTGGGAAGGGTTATGGTCTGTGTCTTGGTTCTTTTTTTTTATTGATTCTTTTTTTTTTCTTTCGAATAGGGATGTCCAGTTATTCCAGGACAATTTGTTGAAAAGACTGTCTTTTCTCCATTGTATTGTCTTTGCTCTTTTGTCAAAGATCAGTCAAGCATATTTATATGGGTGTGTTTCTAGGCTATCGTGTACAATTGATCTGTTTGTCTTCTTTCACCAGTACCTCACTGTCTTGATTACTGTAGTTTTATAGTAAGTCTTGAAGTTAGGTAGTGTTGGTCCTCCAACTTTGTTCTTCTCCTTCAGTATTGTGTTAATTATTCTGGGTCTTTTGTTTCTCCATATAAACTTTAGAACCAGTTTATCAATATCCACAAAATAACTTTCTGAGATTTTGATTGGGATTATGTTGAATCCATATATTTAATTGGGAAAAATTGGCATCTTTATACATGTCATTTCAGAAAGAGGAAATAGTATGTATAAATTTACTGAGGTATGAAAAAGTATACTATTTTCTGGGGTTACCCAGTTTGCTACTATTGGAACATACCATTCAGAGTTAGAAGATAAAACTGGAGAGGTATTTAGAAACTCAATTACAAAAGATCCTTTATGCCAAAACAACAAAAAAAGTCAGCCATGACCATCACTATTTATTGAACATCTACAGAACCAGATGCATTAAAATTTTTTTTTTATTTTAATTTTTTTTTTTTTTTTGAGACAGAGTCTCTCTCTCACTCAGGCTGCAGTGCAGTGGTGTGATCTCAGCTCACTGCAACCTCCTCCTCCAGGGTTCAAGTGATTCTCCTGCCTCAGCTTACTGAGTAGCTGGGATTACAGGTGCACACCACCATGCCCAGCTAACTTTTGTATTTTTAGTAGAGATGGGGTTTCGCCGAGTTGGCCAGGTTGGTCTTAAACTCCTGACCTCAAGTGATTCACCTGTCTCGGCCTCCCAAAGTGCTGGGATTATAGGCAGGAGCCACTGTGCCTGGCCCAGATGAATTTTATAGTCATTGCCTCTCTTTACTATAAGGAAATAATAAACAGTCAGTAATGGGCTTAATGTCAGGGAGACTACGAACTGGCTTGAAATTTAGGAAGATTGTTTTGCCAAACTTGTTAATTGGTAAAAAGCAAGAATGAGAAAGAAGGCAAGATAAGAAGCTATTTTAGTAGTTCATATAAGAGATTATGATGGCCTGAAGCAAGACTGTGATAGAGGGAATGGAGAAAAGTGGAAGGATTGAAGAGTTAGTTAGAAGGTGGCAGGAATCTAATGGTTGAAAAGGAGGAGTTAAGAATCGTACCCAGGTTTCTGGCTGGGGAGCCCCGTGGATTGTGTTGCCATCCTTCAAGATAAGAAATACAAGCAAGAAAGCAGGCTATAGGAGAAGATAGTGAGTTTCATGACAGATGTGTTGAATTGTAGGCATTTTAATTTTTGAAGTAGGTAAGGATAAGGACATGCTTAAGAATTTATGTCATACAATTTTATAATGTTAAGTCATTAAATTTTCTTCTTCCTGCTGGATATCTCTAAATGGGAGGGCCTTGTCAGTTCCTCATCTTCTCTCCAAAGCCAGATTTTTCTTCTGTGTTCCCAGTTTTAGTTATTGGCATCAACCAATAGTCAGGAACTTAGGACAGCAATCTTGAAGTCATTTTCAATGTTCTGTTTCCCTCACCTTATGTGTCCGGTCAGTTGCCAAGTGCCATCAATTCTAAGTCTGCAATATCTCTTTTACCTCTGCTCATTTCTCTTGTCGTTGTGTCTGCTCTATATCATGCTCTCATCATTTCTACCCTGGAAAAGCTCAAAAGCCTGGGATTCTCTGCATGCCTCTAGTCTCCCCTTCTTCCAGCCTATTATTGACTAAGCCCCCAGAACAATCTTCCTGTGTGATAAAGCATGCTGCCTTCATGGAGCCTGTTTCATTTCTTTGTATTAATAGTAGCATTGGTGGGACGACTTCCCTCCATCCTCACTCAGGGGAAGTTTCATTAAAATGTTGTTCACAGTTAGGGTCTCTCTGTGTTGAGATGGATGTGAAGAAACTCATTGTTAAAAGAAAAGCAAATAAAGTGATTAAAGTTTTCATAAAATCAAATCTGAAGGAATGTAATAGAAATGGGTTATGGCTTTCATCAGTAAGGTGTTGGTATGTGCTTGTCAGTTTTTTACAAAGCAGAGGGAACAGGGAATAGAGTGAATGTGGAACTTGAACCTCACACTAAGGAAGTTTTTGTATAATTTTCCCACAATGCAACTGGCTCTGGGGAAATTTCATTCATGTACACAAAAGAAGTATTGCAGCAAAATTCAATAAGGTTTTAAGTAAGTTTCTTAACACCAATAAAAATAAAAATGCTAGATAACAGGAATAACAATATTGGAAACTGCGTAGAAAGCCTATTCGTAGATGTAATTTTACTTTTGAACTATGATGGGAGAGGGGGATGAAAGTGAAGTCCAATACTCAATTTTGGAGAGGGTGCTTACAACTTGGATTCCTAATCCTGAAGAGAAGGATGGCAGCTCAATACAGAATCTGTTTGTGAGGCACTTGTTACATTGCTGTATGTGGTGGTCTGTAAAGTAGGCTTACAAGGATCTTCCCTCATTTAGGTTTCTACTGACCTCACCAAACTTTGGTCTATTTGGGCAGTAGGCAGTAGCTTGGAGAAAGGGAACTGCATGCTTTGGAAAGCTCCCTAACAAAATTCATTATACATTGCTCTATAGAAGTATATAGCGTTCAGCTCAGACAGGTCTATTGAAGATAGGAAAGATCTGAAGGGCAATCACAAAACAACGTTTAGCCTAAAAAGAAAGAAATGTTAAATCAGCTAAAATAAGTATACATAGACAGTTTATGTTGAGTATACAGAGAAGCATGACATTTTAGAATAGATACATTGATAATATTAGATTAGTCCACTATGGCTTCCTCCAGTGGTTCCCCACTGTGTTTTTTTTTTTTTTTTTTCTGAGAGGGAGTCTTGCTCTCTTGCCCAGCTGGAGTGCAGTGGCACAATCTTGGCTGACTGCAACCTCTGCCTTCTGGGTTCAAGCTATTCCCCTGCCTTGGCCTCCCGAGTAGCTGAGATTACAGGCGCCCACCACCACGCCCAGCTAATTTTTTTTTTTTTTGTATTTTTAGTAGAGACGGGGTTTCACCATGTTGGTCAGGCTGGTCTCAAACTTCTGACCTCAAATGATCCATCTGCCTTGGCCTCCCAAAGTGCTGGGATTATAGGTGTGAGCCACCATGCCTGGCTTTTATTTTGGATTTAATTCTATATCATTACCGTACATTGTCTGGAACTAGGGTGACCATTTAATTTATCATTGAAATTAGAACTCTTTTGAGAGTAAAAGGAAGTGCTATTACTGATTGTACCTGGAGCACAGGTGTGTCCAGTCCTGTCCCAGGTGAAGTAGAAGGTGTGGTTACTGGAGCTATAAGGCCCTATGCGTCCTGGCTCCCTGGTCCCTGCTTGTCCCTGCCACACTAACTGCTTGTTTTTTCCATCTTCCACATCTGACCTTTTTCTCTTTCTTGACTGGTCTAGGTTTGTACTTGCCCCCAGATGAGCTCTTCTTCCCAGCACATTGACATTTGTGTTTCATAGCATTGAATAGTATTTGAAAATTTTTGTTTTATATTTGTTTACTTGTTTCTTCATAAAATGGAAAGTGGGGACTGTGTTGATCTCATTCATTACCCTACTTCCAGTGCTTAGCACAGGGCCTATTTGTAATGTTCAAAAATGTTCTTTGAATAAATAAAAGCAAGTTAACTATTTTAACTTACGTGATCAATTCCTGATGAATTATATGTCATGGTGTTAAAAACAAAGTTATTTTAGGAAAAAGAACCTTGGTATAGGAGGGAGAGAAATCTATGTATTGGATTAAGCATTCACTGACTGTCCTTCCCTCCTTGATACTTCTATTTCCAAATCTGTTAAGTGGAGATAATATGTGCATTGCTCATTTTGCCACTATTAGCATAAAATAAATGTTTGGGAAAGGACTGTGCAGAGTGTTAGGGGGCATTTTATGACTAGAAGTATTATTATATATTTTCCATTCCTCTCCCCAGTTAAAATATTGCTATTTTCCAACCTCCCCATTTCTGTTGAGAACTCTAGTACTGAAGTTTTCTGTTGAGAACTCTAGTACTGAAGTTTTCTGTTGAAAACTTCAAAATTCTTAACCCTACCCATTCTTTTGTTCTTGATATGGAGTTAATTTTATAAGTCCTGTTAATTCTTCCTTGGAAACATCTCCAGTTTCAGTTTTTATTACCACTACTTAACACCCACCCCTAGTGTCATCACTTTTTTCTAGATTGCTATGAAAACATTTAACATGTTTGTTTTCTCTTCTCCATCGAGCTCACCAAAGACAGGTTAATCTTCTTTAAAAGTGATGTTTGCCAATAACCTTTAGTGATCCCCATAGCTTATTTGATAATATCCATATTTTTAAGCCTAGCCTTTGACTTTAGTCATGTTAATTCTGCATCATGTACATCTCCTTGGTTTCTTATTAGTACACTCATTTCTGTCTTTTTCTTTTGTCTCTCATTCTACCCCAGAATGCCCTTTTGCTCAAGTACCTTGTACTCTAGGAAGCGTTTCCTGACAATACACTCTAAGTTTGACCTCAACATACGTTAGGAATTTCTTGTTCTTATTTTCTCTCACATAAACCATTGCATACCTATTTGAGCTTCTACCTACTGAGAACCTACCATGTGCCAGAATAACATACTAATAAGCATTGCTAATCAATACAGAGCAACCCCAAATAAGTATTAATCCAGTTATTTACTAACTTGTATTGTTATTTAACTGTTGTATATAAATATGTTTCCATTATAAAAATTTCAAAAGCTTTCAGAAGGCAAGACTCATGTCTCATACTTCTTTACTTGCATATACTATTAGCAATATTAATTTCTCACTTTTACTTGTTAAAATGGCATGCATATTTTACATTTCCTAAAGGCTGACATTTCTTATCATGGGCACACTTGATACCTATGGATTTGTGTGCTAAAGAACTTTAATGGTCCAAGAAGTTCTTATCTAAACAATTAAATTGGAATGACAAAAGTTCAGTGAATTTGGTATTTTTCTTGTAATCTTTCATTATTCAGGAACAAGTTTATAGACATAGGATTTATGTGGTATTCACCCTGCCACCCAACAGATCAATATGCTGGTTTATCGTCATGCAAAGATAATTTCAGTATAACACTGGAGTACTTTGAGCAGCATAGCAGATATATTTTTTCTTGTAGTACTGGTTACTTCAAACCCTGGGGCTCACAGTGGTTTGAGGTTAATGAAGTGTTGCATTCTTATTAACCATGGTAATCTTATGGTGTCACAAAATAACAGGCTTTCCTTGCCATATGAGTTTTTCCCCTGCCATATGATTTTGCAGTATTTTTCAGTTTGCAAATATTGCATGCATTGTTTGACCATATTCCCAGAAGTTGCTTTGTGATAGTCAAGTTTGCCTGAAGTAATACTAATGGCATTTACAGCTGTATGTAATATGAATTCAACTCATGAAAGTTATCACTGATCTGTTTAAATGAAATATTTTAACTAGTATATTTTTGCAGGTATTTGCTTTAGGAGAAGCTCCTAAGAAAAAATGATTCAATCTTAAAAAGGCCAAAATCTAAATGAATATTTATGTTTGGACATTAATTATGTCATTCTGCCAGACCAGTTTTTAAAAATTATCAGACACACCTTCACTAAACTTTGTTAGACAACTTCAAGTTATATATAAGAATAGATTAAGTTATTAATGTGATTTACTGCTTTAAAAATTGTTGAATTTTGATCTCTCTCTCCATGACAAATGTATTATTTGGAGACTTCACTTAGAAAAGAAAAAGAGGAATTTATGACTTCATCAGAAGCCTCATTAGGGAATATGTTTGGCTTTCATGTTGAGTTGTCTTTTTTTCCTTTTCTTTTTTTCTGCTGTTGTTTGTTCCCAAGAAATTCACAGTCTTTGAACTCACATAATTTGGGGGATTTCAAATACTGTATCATTCAACCACAGCTGTTTTAGATATGCCACAAATTGTAGTTCTATGAACTTGATTTTTTCCCCTGAACATGGAGAAAAAGCAAATAATAAAGAAAAGAAAAGGGGGAAAATTTAAATTGTCTCCGTAGTAATTAAATAACTCATACAGCCAAAGTGCTATATTTTAGTAGTAACTACCTTGTTTTTAATGTGACATCAAAAGCTGATGGTTTGTTTCTCATTTAGTGCAGATGTGAAATAGTCTACATCTCTAGAACGGTTTAAAAGAAATTATGGTCATGGTAGAGAGATTTAATTTGGGTCTACTCCATGAACTTGAGGCATTTTCCCCACAAAGAACTAGCAGATGAATTTAGGTACATTAAAGAAATGATTATAGACAGCTTATACAACGTCTAAAACTTGGGAAACCATCCCTCTGTTTAATTTTTTAAATTCCTCTCAGATCTCATTTGTTAATAACCCTATTCTTACTCATTTTTATTCCTTGCACTTACCCAGCTTTCTGCTTGGGATAATTTTCAGTGTGATAGAATCCACTTGACTCCTTCTTCCTATGCCCTTTCAGTATAGTATTGAAGAGGAATTCATTATATTGAATGAATGTTCTTAAATTTGTTTCACTTACTTCCTCTCTAATAATCCATTTTCTTCTCAGTTTGAACTTTAGGTATGGGTAATAGATCAGGAATTGGGGAGACCTTTGTTCTAAATAATTGGAATGACCATATTTGTCAATTAGAGAGATATGTAGACCAATGGTTATAAACCAGAGTACTAGAAATTCTTGTAGAACATCAGGGAACATGTATTCTGAAGTTTGTAACTGGAGAGTCTGATTCAGTAAGTCAGAAGTGGCCCTGTGAATGAGTACTGTAAATAATCATCTTAAATAATACTGTAAGGATTGGTCTTTTGTTCCTTTGTAGATTGACCTCCCAAAAGTTCTACCTTTAGTTAGATTGTTTAGTTGAATTTATAAGTAAAAAATAATGGCTTAGGCTAAATTAAAATTGTTAACTGGACTATTTACAGATCCCTTACTAGGTATTAGATGTTATAACTGGGTAAGATAGAGAATGCAAGGAATTTCAATATGTTTTTCCTGGAAAAAACAAAACAAAACAAAATTACACACAAGAAGATGTACATCTGGGCCGAAGATGCTTTTAGAGTGGCAGCTTCTTTGTTGTAATTTGAACCAAGTAAATGAGACTAAAGGGGAGAATGTAAACTGAGAAGAGAAGAGGGCTGTGGAATCCTCAGGAAGTACAGTCTTTAGTGTCTGGTTAAAGGAGAAAGGGTCTGAAAGGGAGATTGTGGACTAGTTGCTAGAGAGGCAGGAAGAAGACGAGAAAGATATGTCATGACTATCAGGCCAAAGGAAGGTTTCCAGAAGGAAATAGTCAAATGTGCTGAAGCTGTTGTAAGAGGTCAAGAAAAATGATACAAGAAAATTGGCTTTAGCAAAGGAAAGAAAAGGGATGGGAGTGGGATCGGGGGTGGAGCGGGGTGGAGTAGGGAGAAGGTTCTTACATCAAAGCTTTAGTTTTCTTTTCTTTTCTTTTCTTTTTTTTTTTGAGATGAAGTCTCGCTCTGTTACCCAGGCTAGGGTGCAGTGGCATGATCTCAACTCACTGCAACCTCTGACTCCCTGGTTCAAGTGATTCTTCTGCCTCAGCCTCCCAAATAGTTGGGATTGTAGGCGTGTGCCACCACATCCAGCTAATTTTTGTATTTTTAGTGGAGACAGGGTTTCACCATGGTGGCCAGGCTGGTCTCGAACTCCTGACCTCCAGTGATCTACCCACCTTGGCCTCCCAAAGTGTTGGGATTACAGGCATGAGCCACCACACCCAGACTCAAAGTGGTAATTTTCAAACTTTAGTTATTCATGTATCACCTCCATGTGTTTTTTTTCCATTTCCAATTGCCATGCTAACTATTTTTCACTATTTTATCTTTACTTTTGTAGGTATTATAATTTCATGGTTAAAAAATACAAATTTTATTAAAAGGTATAGGCTAAGATTTATTTTACCAGTCATCCCAAACGTCTTCTACCCTTCTCCTCATTGATTATAACAGCCATTCTTACTAGTTTCTTGTGTATACTTTTATATTTCTTTTTACAAAATCCCAGAGAACTCTTTTAATAGCTTTTTAGTCCTGTGAAAACCCCACTTTTTCTTTATTCACATTTTACGGAGGCTAACCATACAAGAGAATAACCAAGTAGTAATAGGTTGAAGTTTCTCAGCCCAGACTTTAGAAGGCCTTGAGTCAGTGCATCTGACTGTATGATCAGTTTAATGTTAAACATATGTCCCAAAATAGACTAGCCTGAGCATGAAAGGTAGTCCTAAAGTTCATATTTTATTACTTCATTTTTCTGTATCTGTTATTTCTAGAGCATAAGCAGTTTGTATGAGGTTGAGCATAACAGAATGTATGTATGCTGAGTGTGACTTTGAAGGACAAAAATTTTGTGATATATTAGTCCCTATAAAGGAACTTCGTAGCTCAATACTCTACCACCTAGACTTGAATTTTATTTAGCTTCCTTCATTCCTAATGTGTACTGTGTCATTTTGGGACTGTGGAAACCTTGGATTCTGATCTAGACCTTGTTTCACCCCTTTTGCTTTCGTTTTGCAAGACTTGGAGGGGAGACGGGAACATCAAGGACTCTGAAAAATGTGTGGTTGAGGTGTTTTGCCTCAGATGTTGGGAGGGGTTAAGGTGCGGGAGAAGATACAGGCTGAGAGAGACTGAGCAGACAACTTGGCAGCAGTCCTGGAAGTGAAAACACTCCTGGAAATAGACTGGTGATTCTCTGAAGTCTACCCCATCCCCAGTTCTCCCACACAGCAGAGGTTGTCTGACTCTGAAACACCAGCTCTGTAAGTACCATAGTGCCTTCACTCTAATGGAGCTATAGCCCTGCCTTTCATAGGCTGAGACTTACTTAGGAAACTGAAATCTAAGGTATCCAGGTTCTTGCCACACAGTTTTGAGAGGCTGACAAGTAAGTGTCTTGAGTTGACTGAACATCCTGTGCTGGACCTCTCCGACAGTGGAAGCTTGAGTCAGCCATGCTTTAGCAAGGGGGTGGGGCAGATTTGGGGATTTGTATAAATCAACTTTATGGAACCAGGGATTAAGGTACAGGTTAGGATTTGAACTTGGAATGAACTAATAAAGAGTAGATATGTAAAAGAAAGGTGAAGTGACCATGACCCATCACCCAGGCTGTGCCTCCTTCACCAGTGCCAAATAAGAGGGTCTTTTATGAGTAGGACTGTAAACTGAGGTCTGCTGTTTATATAAATTAGATGATGGAATCAGTCTTGGTTAGTTAGATAGCACAGTTGAAAATGTAAGGTCCGAAGACCCCAAACTTTCCCCCATAAGTTACAACTGGATTTAGATGCTGACATCATCTAGATATGGTTTTGCAGCCTTAAGAAGTTGGCACTTTTACTCGACCCAAACCTTACTGAGTCAGGTTGTCAGAGGGGTGGGCAGTATGACCTGATTGGCTATAGGGATTTATATTCCAGTTTAGAAAAGATTTTAATAAAATATGCTTGTGCCATGTGGCAGCAAATTCACATGCACATAACCTGACTATACAGTCTCCAGACAAGGCCTCTGGAATGAATGTAAGTATTCCGTTAATCCCAGTATAACTCACACTATGAATGTACAAATGTTACCGTGGGAGCTAGCACTAGTTTAAGGGGTAGATGACCCAGGAAAGTTGCGAGCCAGTGTATTGTGACTGTGATATGGACTGTTGGTGGAGTACATAAATAGAACATTACCTCTGACCCTGTATGTGCGTGTATAAATTGATTACAACAGAATCCCATAGTAACATGGAATTTAAGAAAATCATTTGTGTTATAAGGGGACTCCTAAGTCCAGATAATCAAAAACAAAACACCTGGGATTTTCTGAACTTCTTGCCTTCCTGGGCTTGTACTGGGACTCAATATAATGTCACCCATATGAAGTTCTCTATGGAAATCTATAGGAAGTTTAAAAATACGTGTATGAGCTAACATCTATAAAAATGTTAAGTGAATAGGCAAAAATTTTGTAAGTGATATTCTAATTGCAGTTTGGAATGCTATCACTTATAAAATAATTCTTTAACAATACCATAGGTCTTTACAATATAACTTGTTATCATTCTTTGAATGATGTGCAAAGAGCTATGGCGCTGGACGCGGTGGCTCATGCCTATTACCCCAGCACTTCAGGAGGCCAAGGCAGGCAAATTGCTTGAGCCCAAGAGTTTGAGACCAGGCTGGGCAACGTAGGGAGACTCCATCTCTACAAAAAATACAGAAACTAGTCAGATGTGGTGGTGCACACCCGTGGTCTCAGCTACTTGGGAGGTTGAGGTGGGAGGATTGCTTGAGCCCAGGAGGTCATGGCTGTAGTGGGCCATGATTGTGCCACTGCCCTCCAGCTGGGTGACAGAATGAGACCCTGTGTCGAATGAATGAATGAAAATAAAGAGCCATGGCTTTGTCTGTGTTTGCAACATAATACAGACTAATGTTAGTCTTACCCAAGATACAATAAAACTTTATTAACACACAGCAATATTCCTGAAAATGGCTTGTGAATTAATGGTTTTTAAAATAAAAGTGAGATATTAGGCTAATGAAGATATAATTTGCTGAAAATATCTTAGTGACTTGAACAAACTTGTATGACCCTGACAAGATGTTATATTAGGGCCCCAAATTCTTTTTAAATTAAACCACTCAGGCAGTGTAATTGAGGAGAATTTCTTTAACTTGCATCCTCTGGTAATTGTTTCTGTTCTTATTTTCCTTTGGCAATTGTGTAGATGTTGAAGATGGTGGAGTGACTCCTCTGCACAGCTGGCAGGGTGCTTGCAGTCAGGAGCATGCATTAGGTGGCCCTTGAGGGTGAGTGGAGCAATCTGCCTGAGACTGTTCATTATTGTAAAGTTTTGGAAACCAGTGTCTTCAGATTCACACTCACCCTTGCTTGTATGAAGTCACATGACAGTTCACATTTGAGATGGCATAAGAAGGGCATTAACTTCCCAAATTCCCTGTGCATCAGTGTGAAAGAGAACCCAAAATGTCCTGTGCAGGTCTTTCTTGCTCCTTCAAGTGGAAGTAGTTCAGTTCCATAGATTAGGGAATTTTTTTTTTTTTTTTTTTAGATGGAGTCTCACTCTGTCACCCAGGCTGGAGTACAGTGGTGCAGTCTCAGCTCACTGCACCCTCAGCCTCCTGAGCCAGCTGGGACTACAGGTGTGTGCCACCACACCTGGCTTATTTTTGTATTTTTAGTAGAGATGGGGTTTTGCCATGTTGGCCAGGCTGGTCTTGAACTCCTGACCTCAGGTGATCTGCCCGCCTCGGCCTCCCAAAGTGCTGGGATTACAGGTGTGAGCCACCGCACCCGGCCAAGGGGGATTTTTTTTTCTCCTTTCAGTTTAGTTGCCCTAAGTATGATTATAAAACTATACTTTTTCTTTACCCTGCCCCACTTTTTTCTGCTTCTATGTTTTAAAAAAAAAATAGCCATAACAGGCTTTGCTGCCATAGAGCACTTACATATCCATGTTTCTTCTATTATGAAAGGAGGAGTGTTGCTTGGTAGCAGTAGCGGCTGTGGGTGTTAGATGGCAGATGGGGGACTGCAGGGTTGCAGCTGCAGTCCTGCAAATATTGTTAAAATAAACTTCCATTGGAAATTGACTGGTCAAATAGAGTGTTGTGATGAAGCAGAGCTGAAAGTCTAATGTGAAAAAGAGGAAAAGCATGTATCTGAGCCATGTAAACTTTTATGCAGACCAGTATTGATGTGATTTCTTGGCAGGGAATTGGTGGGCTGTAAGTCTGAGAGGACTCAAGGGAATGACTGGAGAAAAGTATCACTAATAGAGTATTTTGATGGAAGAGAAAACAATTCCTTTATTTATTGTAAGAATGTTTCATGTCACAAACTAATCTTGTGTGACCCTGTATATGTGCCTTACTCAATTAAAGGTACATTTGGTGGAGGGAATGGCTCACACCTGTAATACCAGCAATTTAATAGGAGGCTGAGGCAGGAGGATTGCTTGAGTCCAGCAGTTTAAGATCAGCCTGGGCATCATAGTTAGACCCCATCTCTACAAAACATTAAAAAAATTAGCTCGGTGTGGCAGCACATGCCTGTTATCCCAGCTACTTGGGAATTTGAGACAAGAGAATCACTTGAGCCCAGGCGGTCAAGTCTGCAGTGAGCTGTGATTGTGCCACTGTACTCCAGCCTGGGCAACAGAGCAAGACTTTTTTAAAAAAAAATTTTAAATAAAATAAAGGTGCATCTTACCTTTATCTTCTCATTTGCTGCAGATTCTTACATGTGTATGTGATGAAATTTGGATGTGATAGGTTTGCATATTGGATGCTACTTTGGCGTGCACTTGTACACTATAAACAGTTTTCTTGAAACTGCAAAAGGGCCAAATGAATGTGGATGATTCTCATCAGGAGAGTTGCGGAAATTTGTGGGGATGTGTTTTCTAATGTAGTTGAGTCTGAGACGTATTCATAATGAAATACATTATTTAACATAAATTATAGTCTTATTTTTTCTTTATATTACTCAGAGCATAATACTTGTTTTGAAATTATGTGTGGGGGCAGGTTTTACCATGTTAATTCACTTCAAGTTTGTAAAGAGAGCCTTATAAATTTACTATAAAAATGGGGACTTTTGAGATCCACTTATCTTGGTAATAGTTAACTAGGACTTCTTAAATTGTTTAACTCTGTACATTCAGAAGAATTTCTTGTATCATTTAAACTGTAGTACTGTTATTTGCTGTTATTTAAGTTCTGTAAAGTCACAGAAAACACTGAATCAGTGCATATAGAACCATTGTTGTTTGCAAAATATGGCATTAGGTCCCTGCCAGCCTCTGGTCACATTTTCATCAGTAAATCATTATATAACCATGTTTCACGTGTGTTTCTTTTTAAAGACACTTTAATGTACATTTTTGATTCATTAACTTTGAACTCATGGCTAGTATACTGCTATAGCTCATACCTGAATGAAGCTTATTTGATACGAATATTTTCTCTATAAGGTACATCACGAGTATTTTCTCCGTAAGGCACATCACAACCTTCTTGCACTTAGGAACACTAGACAGCACTTTGGCACTGTGCATAGGAGATATTCTCAACAGCAAAATCACCAACAAAAAGCACAAACTTACAAAAAGTATGGCACTAAGTGGAGTGAAGAAAGGACATTTGCTTACAGAATAAGAGCTGAAAAATGAAGGAAAAGTGCACCTTATTTGACCTCAGCTGGGAACGTGCCCATTGGGCAACTCAAAGTTTTTGTCACTCTGACCTGTCAGCAAATGCCAAAAAAGCTCTACAGATTTGAGGTAACAAATAAGTTTTAGCAAGTGGGCAACTTTTCAAATATTGAAATCCACGAATAATGAGAATTGACTACAAGTAGTTTTGCCAAAAATTGTAAATTATGGAATAACCTGTGTAGTCACTTAAATGCTTGCAGAATCTGGAGAATTAATGAGAACTTTTGATGTGGTATAACATATTAAAATGACTTTACTGTAACATCTTTGATTTAAATAATGAAATTAACCACATTTGTATAATGTCTTATAAAATTTTTATAGTACTTCAGGTACATAATTAATTTGCTCTGTAGTTGAAAAACTATGATTCTGACAGATTAAGTAAGTGACTTACCACTGTTGACCTGCCTAATATGTTGTGGAAATGAAACTGGAGCCCAAGTGTTTTTATTTTTTATTTATTTATTTTTTCTTTCAGACATGATCTCACTCTGTCACTGAGGCTAGAGTGCAGTGGCATGCTCATAGCTCACTGCAGCCTCGACCTCCTGGGCTCAAACAATTTTCCCACATCAGCCTCCTGAGTAGCTGTGACTACAGGTGTGCACCACCACACCTGGTGAATTTTTAAAATTTTGCATAGAGACATAGTCTTGCTGTGATGCCCAGGCTGGTCTTGAACTCCTGGCCCCAAGCAATCCTCCCATGGGCCTCCCAAAGTACTAGGATTACAGGCGTGAGCCACTGCACCTCGCCCCAAGTTGCTTTCATTTTTAATTCACTCTTAATTTTTCACCTTTTTCTAGATAGCTAGTTCAGAATTATTCTAGATATATACATCTTAGTAAGTATGGTGATTTAAAATTACTTTGGACAACTTTAAGTTTACTTTTTTTAAAAAAGGAATTTTCAAGATTGTTAGGTACCTGCCTGTTTTCAGGGGCTTTGATGACTTATTCCAAGAAAATGGAATTGTCTGTTGTGACTGGAGTCATCACTGGATTAAGCTGACAATAAACTACTGTTATTCTTCAAGAAACATCCATCTTCTGCACAGACCAAAGTAGTGATTTAATTTGAGTGCACAGCTCGGTTGTACTTTGTCTTGGGATGTGAAAAGCCAGAAAGAATGTCACTCCCATAGTGATATCACTCCCACAGAACAATAAGGATAAAGACAGATAATCTACACAATTTCAATTTTTTTAACCTACTAGACAGCTGAGATTGATAACATCTAGGTAGTCTAAAATTCAAGGAAAAAAAATAGGCTTTTCCATGTGGAGAAGAGAAATAAGCACTGGCTCATGTGGTCACTACTTTTTCATCCTACAAAGAGATTCACTAGTTAATAAGCCTAGGCAAGGGCACAGTACTCCAATCAACTTTATAGAAATGTATTGTTATGGTCCAAATTGTGTCCCTACCCCCAAGTTCATGTGTTAAAGTCCCAAACCCCAGCACCTCAGAATGTGACTGAATTTGGACACGGTGAAGTTAAAATGAGGCCTTTTGGATTGGCTGTCATACAATCTGACTGGTGTCCTTATAAGAATAGGAAATTTGGACATACTTAGCGGTATTTGCACAGAGGAAACACTGTGTGGATACAAAAGGTGACTAGACCGCAAGCCTAGGAGAGAGGCCTCAGAAGAAACCTACCCTGCCAACACCTTGATCTTGCATTCTTGCACTTCCAGCCTGCCTAACTGTGAGAAGATAAGTTTCTGTTTAAGTCATCCAGACTGTGGTATTTTGTTATGGCAGCCCTAGTAAACTAATATTTTAGCACTCTTAAAGAATTAAGTACGTAGAGCCAAACATGTAAGATAACCCAAAGGAAAAATGGGAGTAGAAGAGAATGGAGATAATGTAGGAAGGAGAAGTAAACTTTAAAAATATTATAATTAATAGAAGAGAAGATACTATATGTAGAAGGAATAAAGTTTTCTAATAAAGTGATATTCAGAGGACAAAAGGACATTAAAAGGAGAGTGGACATTTTAAGATGTCTTACATTTTTGAAGATAAAGTTAGGAGAATTTCCCAATGAAGTAGAAATAGTAGATATGGAGAATAGGAGAGAAAAATTATACAGTAGAAGATAATCAATCCAGGAGGTCCAACATCCAACTAATACACAGAAACTTAGAGAACAGAGGAAAAGGAAGTGAAATTATCAAGCAAGTAATACTGAGATTGTCCTAGAGCTAGACGTGAGTGAATATTGAGATAGAAAGCCTTATTAAATGTGCAATAAAGAAGAAAGGAATTTTCACCAAGACATGTCATTTAGAAATTCTTATGCACCAGAGATAAGGAGAACTTGAAAACTTTCAGGGGAAACAACAGGCCACGTTAATGGTTGGGAAATCTGGATGGTATCGGATTTCTCCGTTTTAACAAAGAAAGGAGAAAACAGAGCAATGCCTTAAAAATTCTGAGGAAAAGTAATTTTCATCTTAGAATTCTATACCAAAATTATCAATCATATGCATGAGTAGAATAAAGATATTTTTATACATACAGTGTCTTAAAGATATGTTTTGTCTGCTGTTTCTCAGAAAGCTACTGGAGTTGTGTACCATGAAATTCAGGGAATTAATAAATGAAGAAGGAAAATGTGGAATCCAGGAAATGGGATCCAGCAGAGAGATGTGAAGGGAATTCCCACAATGACTGTGAAGTTTAGGCTAATAGTTGGCTCAGTGCCTAGAGAGTTTATAGTCCAGATTAAAACAGTCAGAAGACTCCAGGACAGTGTCTAAGGAAAACAAACAAGCATGAAGCTAATATATTATCTGAGGCGATACACTGGCGGGAAGGAAGTTTTATAGTCCTTTTGGAATGCCTAGGGCTGAATTAGTGAATGTACACCAAAAAGTTATTCAAAAAACAAAGACAGTTTATAACTTTATAGTTAACAAAAATTTGTGTGAGAAAGAAGAGATACTTATATACATGAAGTAGCTCAGGTATAAACAACTTTTATGATAATAATAACACAGTCATCCCTCAGTGTCTGTGGGGGATAGGTTCCAGATTCCCCACGGATACCAAAATCCATGGATGCTCAACTCATGTATGGCAAAGTATTTTTTTTTTCTTTTCTAAGTGCTGAGGTTTGAGAGAATTTCTCCAAGAAGCTCATAAATACAGCAGTGCCCAATCAGGTGGTCTACAGCTTCAGTAACACACCTGTGTATACCCAGGTAACTACTGGTCAGCTACAAATGGAAGTTCAGTAAAAGCAATTCCACAAAGGACCAAATTTCTATCTAGGCCTCAGATCTGGCTATCTGGCTAGATCCTGGTTAAAACTGGATATGTGGAAAATTACAGTCAAACTATGAAACAGCCCCACCCTTATCTCCCTTCACTGACTCTCTTTTCGGACTCAGCTCGCCTGCACCCAGGTGAAATAAACATCCTTGTTGCTAAAGGAACAAAAACAAACAACCAAAAAAAAACTGGATATGTGGCCTAGCCCTCCAGCAAACTCCTAAAATATTGCAAACCTCAGCGCCTATTAAGAAGTAACGACTGTTAGCAAGAATTGGGAGACAAGAAGTGACATTCGGCCAGGCGTGGTGGCTCACGCCTGTAATCCCAGCACTTTGGGAGGCCGAGGTGGGCAGATCATTTGAGATCAGGAGTTTGAGACCAGCCTGGCCAACATGGTGAAAGCCCATCTCTACTAAAAATACAAAAATTAGCTGGGCGTGGTGGCACACGCCTGTAGTCCCAGCTACTTGGGAGGCTGAGGCAGGAGAATTGCTTGAACCTGGGAGGTGGAGATTGCGGTGAGCCGAGATCGCACCATTACACTCCAGCCTGGGTGACAGAGCAAGACTCTTGTCTCAAGAAAAAAAAAAAAAAAAAAAAAAGACAAACAAAACACAAAAAGCAAAAGTGACATTCATCTTAACTTCCAAATAGCCTGGGTTAGTTTTATGCCTCTTTTAATGATGAAGAAACTGAGGGTCAGAGAGCCTTAAGTTTATAGGTAGAAAATGTCAGAGCCAGCCCCAAACTCAGGTCTCTGGCTTCCCTTCCCTAGTCATGTCTACCACCCTTCAAAAATTGAGCTTATGCTCTCAGCATCCCTGTGGTGGATAGTGGGCTGTAGGACCAAGGAAGGCTAGAAGAAGATGTTGGTCTACACACTTGAGTGGAGATGGTGAAGAGGGGACCTAGGCCCAGCAGTCAGGTACTTGCTTTTGTAACCACCCAATGAGTTCACCTTGCCCACTGCTTAGACAGAGCAGATTTCTCAAGACAAGGGAATTACAATAGAGAAAGAGTAATTCATGCAGAGCCGGCTGTGCAGGAGACTGGAGTTTATTACTACCCAAATCAGTCTCCTAAAATGGCATAGTATTTGCATATAACCCACACACGTCCTCCTGTCTACTTTAAACCATCTCTAGATTACTTATAATACCTAATGTGATGTAAATGCTGTGTAAATAGTTGTTATAGTATATTGTTTAAGGAATAATGACAAGAAAAAAAGCCTGTACATGCTCAGTACAAATGCAGCCATCTGCAGAACTCATGGATATGAAGGGCTGTCTACCTAATGATTTTCCCAACATGTGAGGAGGATAGTGTGTGTATGACTGCCTTAAAGGAGGGATGGAGGACAAGAATCAGAAATGTGGAGGGGGAGGGCAGAGGATTACACTTTGTTATATAACAAACCTAAGTGTTTGGCTTTTAAACTTCTATAATTATATTCTTTTGGAAAAATATTAATACTAGTAAAGGAAGTAGGGCTACACTTTAGATAGAGTACATTCAGAAGGGAGGGCAGTTAAAATGGAAGGAGAGGGAAGGAGGAGTATAGGTTGGGTTTGAAGTACTTTAGGGAGAGAGAGAAGAAAGGAAAAATCAGGACACTGTTGAGACACTCCACGGGTACCCCAGTGGAGGTTATGTATATACATATTAATAAATATTAATATGCCCCAACCATTGTATTTGTTTGCAGTTACTTGCTCCCCAGTCAGCTTGTGTTCTTTTCAGTGTTGACACTTGAAGTTAGATTAGTAGCAGTCAGGGTTCTCCACCTATATGCTGTGTTTTTCTTGTTAGGTGCCTGCCATTTCTTGAAAGCCCTTTATGTTTCTAAGGACTTGTTTTTCTTTTTCATGAGAATGTTCTTGTCAGAGACCAAGCGAAGAGACAGCCAAGGGGGAAGAGAGTAAAGTGAACCATTACATCTTACTGTATGTGTATGTCCTTTAGCTTCATGTTACTTAGCTTACTGTATGTCCTTTAGCTTCATGTTGTCAATGTAGGAAATACTACTATATGCTGTTCATGTTGTTAGCACACAGTAAACTGATCTCTTCTTACTCTTTGAGCCTACAACCATAAAATTCCCTTCTATTTCTTATTGTCTTCAAGCATTTTTAAAAAATATACATGATTCCCTTTGTGGGTGCAACTATTATGTTATTGCAAGAAAGACATTTCCTAGCCCTACTTACAGAAAATCTGTGCATATCACAGGTTTCCAGGCTATTGGCTTACTTGGTTTTCTTTGTTAACCTTGATGTAACATTCCAGTGGCACCTGATTTTGTCTAGAAATCATTCCCAAGTGGGTAAACATCATATATGTAACCTCACCCTTGTAAGCCTGCTTTCTTTCCCTGTATGTCATGGAAAAATTTCTGTGTTAATTGGAGGTGGTTTCTGGCCTAATTATGTTTGAAAAAAAATTGTCGAATGGAGATACATCTTAAGAAAGAGATGTTGAAATAATTGCTTGAGTAAACATAGATCACCATGACCTTGTAATAGTTTCCCTTGAAATTATTTAGTGAAAGCAAATTTAGGCAATTACTGAAAACCAGTGATCAAGGAAGGAAATAAACAGCTTTTTTTGTTTGTTTTCTATTTCATAGGACTATACAGAGCACCCCACTTAAATGACTAATACTAAAATTTAAATTTCAATTATTTTTTAAATCTCTGGTATATATATATATATATACACACACACACACATATATATAAGGTGTTTTTGCTTATGAAGTAAGACTTTTGTCAGAATTCATGTACTTGTAAAATTCTAAGTTCAGGATCATAAGAAGTGAGACTTTTTGTGATTATTTGGAGCATTTTGTCAGATTATGCTTTCAATTTCCCCATTTTAGAGTCATTATCTAATTCTACTTTATAGGTATTTAGTAACTTTGTTCTTTCAAGAGTATTATGAAGTCATTATATGTATTCTATCATATGGAAAGAGAATATTAGTGAACAATGACTTCTACTTTGAGACTTTGAACACCAAGAGAGGCAGGCCTCAGATGATCAAGGTAATGTTAATTGGCTAAAAAAATTGAGGAATATTTTTTGTGAGAATATCAAGGGGAAAAAGAGGAGACAGGGACATTTATTTATGATTCATATCAAACTGGAAGGTAGTTTTCAATTGTGACTATACACTAAAGATTGTCACTTGATTCACATGTATTCAGGGCTTATAAAACTAAGTCATCATACTTAGAAATGGTTTCATGCTATCACGGTGTCTGTCAGAATTAGCAGGCAATATCTCATTATAGGAAATTTTAAGTATATTAGTGATTTTTTAAAAAATGTAAAATTTTGAGATTTTAGGATTTGGAGAATAACTACCTGAGCCCATCCTCTTTGTTGTGAATTAGCAATGGGACAGAAGTATTTGTAATATAGTGAGAGAAACTAGGAAACAAGCTCACTAGGGTGATATTGAGGCCATGTAATACAGAATAATCTATTTCGGGAGTTCCTTGCAAAGGTATAATAGTACCAGATCTTTAGGAATGTTTTAGTTTTTAAATTTTACTTTTCCTAGATACAATATCTAGTTGAAATTTTTTTTATGTGGCAGTTCTAGGAGTACTGTGGATGCGTGGGAAAAGAGGAATGTGAAAAGCTTAGCTCAACTTACCTTCCACTTTTATTTCTTTTAAATGTCACAAAATAGAGTTTACAAAAATGTTAGCTATCTGGGGTCATTTTGAATAGCTGATTATCTAGTAGTTTTAAAATTAAAAGAAAATGTTTTATTATAAAAGAAAGAATATGCTTAGTAAAATTTAAATCTGTATTATTTAATGTTACATTATGAAATACATTAAGGTAATTATTTTAATATAAAAGCATGTTTGTTTTAGAAAATACAGAAATAAACTTTTTTTGTAGCCCCACTACCCAGTGTTAATTATTACACTATTACGATTTGAAATTGGATTTCCAGGCTATTTCCCTATGAAGACATATGCTTTTATTTTCTAAAAGATCGTATTTTATCTACCTTTTTGTAGTCTTTTGCCTACTTTATATCATATTTAAAAGAGCAGCCCATTTTATTAAATATTGTTCTGTGGTATAATTTTAATGGCTGCTTACTGTTATATTACATAAGTGAACCATAATGTCATGTTTAATTTAAATGAACAAATTCTATTTTATTAACTAGGTTTATTATAAAAGAAATATGTATATTCATGTTAAATCCATAATATATTAACCAAACTTCTCTTTTGTTACTTACTTCTTTTTAAAGGGAAACTGTTCTTTTTATTTTCTTATTTATTATAAACTCATATTTGTATAATACACATAGCTTTTGCCTTACTAAATATATAATATTATATAATAATATATAATATAATATATATTATAAAAATTAATAATATTGTATTATATAATATATATTATATATAATAATATAAGTTATATTATTATATAATATTATTATTTGTGAGAATATCAAGGGGAAAAAGAGGAGACAGGGACATTTATTTATGATTCATCTCAAACTGGAAGGTAGTTTTCAATTGTGACTATACACTAAAGATTGTCACTTGATTCACATGTATTCAGGACTCATAAAACTAAGTCACCATACTTAGAAATGGTTTCATGCTATTACGGTGTCTGTCAGAATTAGCAGGCAATATCTCATTATAGGAAATTTTAAGTATATTAGTGATTTTTTAAAAAATGTAAAATTTTGAAATTTTATAATATATAATATATTATAAAATATATATTATATATTATATTACATATTATATATTATGTAATATAATATATAATATATTATATGTATATTTATTACATATAATATAATATATAATATTATATTAAATATATATATTAAATATATATATTTATATATTATATTTATAATTATTATATATAATAATTATTATATATATAATAATTATTATATATAATATAAGTTATATAATATAATATAATATTATATAATATACCATATATAGCATATATGTGCAATATATATTATATATTGCATATATATTATATATATTATATATTATAATATGTTATATATAATATAATAATAATATTATTATTATTATTATTTTGAGACAGAGTCTCACTCTCTTGCCCAGGCTGGAGTGCACTGGTGCAATCTTGGCTCACTGTGAGCTCCGCTTCCTGAGTTCAAGCGATTCTACTGCCTTATCCTCCTGAGTTTCTGGGATTATAGGCATCCACCACCACACCCAGCTAATTTTTGTATTTTTTGTAGAGACAGGGTTTCACCATGTTGGCCAGGCTGGTCTCAAACTCCTGACCGCAGGTGATCCACCTGCCTCGGTCTCTCAAAGTGGTGAGATTACAGGCATGAGCCACTCTGCCTGGCCTACTTTTATATTTCAGGGTTTATATTATGAATTTATATTGTTTTAATTATAGCTACATGTAAAGCTACCGGAATATGTAGAACATAGCATAAGAGTAACTTTGGATTTGACTCTGGTATAGTTGTTTTAGAACTTACTTTCTTGAAAGACTTCTTGCCAAGGGCTTGCTTTTTAATGATTTTGCCTGTCTCTTTTATAACTTAATAACACATTTGCAGCTACCTTTCTCTAAAATTAATTGATGCTTATCCCAATTGTTTTATTTTTTACCTAATTTCTACACAATTAGTTTCTTTTGATTTTGCACTGTTATTCAATGCAATACCTGAAAGAAATAAGTTTTTTTTTTTTTTTTTTTTTTGTCAAGGCTCACACACCAGAAGAACTAATGATAAATATTCTTTGTAATCTTCTAGAAATTTTAGATGCATATATAAATACATATATATATAAATAAATACTGTTTTTTTGCTTTTTTGGTAGAGACAGTCTTGCTGTGTTGCCTAGGTTGGTCTTTAACTCCTGGGCCCAAGCAATCCTCCTGCCTCAGCCTCCCAAAGTGCTGAGATTATAGTCATAAGCCATGGAACCCAGCCCATAACTTCTTTAAACAAAAAATATTATACAAGCATGTTCACACTCACACACGCTATTAGGCAACATGAATTTTCATTTTAAGATATGTTGTAAGAATGATGAATGAGGTTAGAAGCACAGTATCTTCAGCTATGCTGCTTGGAATTGAACCCCAATTCCCACGTTTACTATGTGTGACATCTTGGGAAAGTTATTTCACATCTTAATGTGTCTCAGTTTCCTCATGCTTAGCGTGGTGAACAATACAAATGTCTATCTCATAGAGTTGATGTGAGCTTTCAGTAAACTTGTGTATGAAAAGTACTTAGTTATTGGCAAAATAGAGTCATTGTATTTAGCCGTTACCTTTTTATGTAAGAGAATATAAATTTATTCTAATATTTTTAGACTATCCCATCTTAATATTACTATAATTTATTGATCCCCCATTACAAGCCATCGTGTTATTTCCCTATTTTATATTATTGAAACAATGCTGCAAAGACCGTCTTTATTATTAGGATTTTGTACTTGTGAAGTAAATATATAGGATGAAGTCCTAGAAGTATAATTCCTGTGTCAAAGACTACATTGCTTTTTTTTGTTTTTTTTTTTTTTGTTGTTTTTTTTGAGACGGAGTTTCTCTCTTGTTGCCCAGGCTGGAGTGCAATGGCGCGATCTTGGCTCACCCCAACCTCTGCCTCCCAGGTTCAAGTGATTCTGCTGCCTCAGCCTCCCGAATAGGTGGGATTACAGACATGCGCCACCACGCCCAGCTAATTTTGTATTTTTAGTAGAGATGGGGTTTCTCCATGTTGGTCAGGCTGGTCTCAAACTTCCAACCTCAGGTGATCCACCCGTCTCGGCCTCCCAAAGTGCTGGGATTACAGGCGTGATCCATCGTGCCCGGCCCAAAGACTACATATTTGAAGTTTCCATGGGTGTTGCTAAATTGTCCTTCAGGTTTGTGAGATTGCTTTTCTCCTCCTACTCTCTCCAATACTAAGTATCACTTAATTTTTAAGTTTTAATAATATGATAGGTGATGAATGCTAATTTTTGTTTTAAGATATATTGTAAGTGGAGTTGAATATTTATTTATATTTTTGAGACATTTGTATTTTTTTCTCATGAACTACATGTCCATGTAATTGGTTCATTTTTCTATTGGTTTATCAATGTTTTTCATATTGCTTTTGAAAGAACACTTTGTTGTAAAATAACCATTAGCTAGTTCATTTGTGCCATGAATAATTTTCTCTGTTTATTATTGACTTCTCTTCCTTTATAGTCATATAGATTGTTCCAATTTTTATGTTTTCAGATTCTTATATTTGTTATTTTGTTATTGCTTCTGAGTATTATGTCATTCTTCAAAATATCTTTGCCAACACAGGATCACATTTAAAAAGATTCACTAATCTGTTCCTAGATCCTCTTGTAATTTTATTTTTACCTTTAAATCTTAGATCTACTAAAAATGTAGGGGAGGAAAAAAAAGTCATCTTCTGCCCTCTTAAGTTCAGAGTCTAGAACCCAGGAATCAAACTAAAGACATTACCAGGAAGAAAAACATTCACTTAATACATCTGCATGGGAGTTCATGACGAAATGTGACTCAGGGAGGTGGTTAGAATTTGGGGCTTATATACCAACTTAACAAAAGGTGATAAAGTATGGAGAGGTAGGCTGGGCATGGTGGCTCATGCCTGTAAAGTAATCCCAGCACTTTGGGAGGCTGAGGCAGGCGGATCACAATGTCAGGGGATCAAGACCATCCTGGCTAACACGGTGAAACCCCGTCTCTACTAAAAATACAAAAAAAATTAGCCTGGTGTGGTGGCGGGTGCCTGTAGTCCCAGCTACTCAGGAGGCTGAGGCAGGAGAGTGGTGTGAACCTGGGAGTCAGAGGTTGCAGTGAGCCGAGATCGCGCCACTGCACTCCAGCCTGGGCGACAGAGCGAGACTCCATCTCAAAAAAAAATGTATGGAGAGGTAGCTAGACAAAGGAAAGGGGTTTGGGGCTTCTGTGGGGCAGAGCAATGGGTAACTTGTGGGAAAGTAACTAGAAAATGTATAGTAATTAAGAGTTGTTTACTAAGATTTGTTTTGCAGATTAGGGGTCGTCTTTCTGATATGGAAGAGGAGAACACCTTCACAAATGGAAAAATATGTCATCTTTACGAAAGGAAATTTATGTCCTGGTTTTGTGTTTATTTTTCATACAGATCGGGTCTCACTCTGTTGCCCAGTCTAGTCTCAAACTCCTGGGCTGATGTGATCCTCCCACCTTGGCCTCCGAAAGTGCTGGGATTAGAGGTGTGAGCCACCGCACTCAGCCTATGTCCTAGTTTTAGACAGAATGTTGCAGGTCACAGAACAATTGCCTTTAGTTAAACACAGTTCTTAGTCTAAAGTGGCATATTTTGCAATGGCCTACTCTGATTCCCTTCACAGACTCACATGGTGAAAGTAATTATGTGAGGATCTAGCTTTATTTTTCTTCATAAGGTTAGCATAATTTCCTAATACCATTTATTGTATAATCCACCTTCTCTTCATTATTTTGACATATTTTGTATCTCATAAACCAAAGTTTTATATATTTGAATTTGGATCTTTCTGGACTCTCTGTTTCATCAATCTGTCTACTCCTACACTAGTAATAACAATTATTGTATGTTTACAAAACTTTAAATTTTCTCTTATATCTAGCTGCTCTCCCCCAATACTATTTTTATTAAAAAATTTTTAGTTTGTTAGTGTGTACTTTTTCCAGGCAAACTTAAACTTTTTTGTCATATTTCAAAATAAAAATAGTATTTGTTCATTATTTTGTGAGAATCCATTGGAGTTTCTGAGTTCAGTAGGACTTAATACCTTAAATAGAACTTAATTCCTGAGGTAATCAGAAATGAGATATTTTCTTTCATTTTATTTTCTCTCATTATTGTATATATATGAAAATGGCTTTAGGTTATGTTTACTAGTTTTATAACCTGACTTCTTAGTTACACTGCTAATCTTTTCCAGTTTATTTTTTAGTTATATTCTTTACAAATTATAGTTTTATCTCTTTCTTTCCAACGTTTATGCCTTCATTCCAATGTTTATACCTTTTATTTTTTTTCTTGTCTGATTTCACAGAATGATTCCTTTCAAATAATGCCATTTTACTTTTAACCTTTTAGAATGACTTTATTCAAAATAAGCCACTTGTGTAAATATAGAGTTGGCTTTTGATTTTTAATTTAGTCTGAAATTTTCTTTCCCTCAAATATCTGACTTCAGTAAGCAATGATTGTTATGAGATAAATGTTTGCTCTTAATTATATCAACTTCTTTTTATTTTTTTGTTTCTAATAATCACTTTGTTTTCTGGTTTTCGCTTTGTGGTCTGTGTCTTTGTTACTTTCACTTAAGTAGTGATCTTCAAACAGTTAATTTATATAATCTGTGATTTTTAAAAATCAGTAGACTTTTACCGACATGTTAGTGAATATGAGGATCTTAGTTTACTTCCATTTTTTTAATCCCTTGACTTCCCCCTCATCTTTTTGACTTTTGTTATTTTACTGAGTTAAAAGATAATTTTTAAGAGAAAGGAAAAATGTATCTCTTATACAGATTTAAGAGTGAATGCACATTAAAGGATTTCTTTCCATAGTATAATATGAGGGAACTGTAGAGGAGGAAAAAATAATTTTTCCTATATCCTCTGCATTGTTAGCTGCCCCCCCAATAACAAAGACAGATTAACAAGAAAAAACAAACAAACAGAAGTTTATTAATATGTACACCTCTTGTATATAAGGGAGGTATGTAAGAAATAATGGTAAATCTCAAAGAGATAGCTAGGATTCAGATTTAAATAACATCTTCAGCTAAAAACGAAGAAAGGTTGTGTGTGAGGCCAGTTGTGGGGAGGTGACCAGGAAAAGCATGGTGAAGAGTAAGGTTTGTTATGCAGATTTGAGTCAGTGCCTTCTCCATTGATAGGAGTCTCTTATGATTTAGTAATTCTTCATTTCCTGCCACAGAGGGAGATACTCTTACAAATGGAGCTTTTCTTCATAGATCTAAGTTTCCCTTACAAAACAGTATCTTCTACTCTGTTTTTTTTTTTTTTAATTATACTTTTAAGTTTTAGGGTACATGTGCACAACGTGCAGGTTAGTTACATATGTATACATGTGCCATGCTGGTGTGCTGTACCCATTAACTCATCATTTAGCATTAGGTATATCTCCTAAAGCTATCCCTCCCCCCTCCCCCCACCCCACATCAGTCCCCAGAGTGTGATGTTCCCCTTCCTGTGTCCATGTGTTCTCACTGTTCAATTCCCACCTATGAGTGAGAATATGCGGTGTTTGGTTTTTTGTTCTTGTGATAGTTTACTGACAATGATGATTTCCAATTTCATCCATGTCCCTACAAAGGACATGAACTCATCATTTTTTATGGCTGCATAGTATTCCATGGTATATATGTGCCACATTTTCTTAATCCAGTCTATCATTGTTGGACATTTGGGTTGGTTCCAAGTCTTTGCTATTGTGAATAGTGCCGCAATAAACATACGTGTGCATGTGTCTTTATAGCAGCATTATTTATAGTCCTTTGGGTATATACCCAGTAATGGGATGGCTGGGTCAAATGGTATTTCTAGTTCTAGATCCCTGAGGAATCGCCACACTGACTTCCACAAGGGTTGAACTAGTTTACAGTCCCAACAACAGTGTAAAAGTGTTCTATTTCTCCACATCCTCTCCAGCAACTGTTGTTTCCTGACTTTTTAATGATTGCCATTCTAACTGGTGTGAGATGCTATCTCATTGTGGTTTTGATTTGCATTTCTCTGATGGCCAGTGATGGTGAGCATTTTTTCATGTGTTTTTTGGCTGCATAAATGTCTTCTTTTGAGAAGTGTCTGTTCATGTCCTTCGCCCACTTTTTGATGGGGTTGTTTGTTTTTTTCTTGTAAATTTGTTTGAGTTCATTGTAGATTCTGGATATTAGCCCTTTGTCAGATGAGTAGGTTTGCGAAAATTTTCTCCCATTTTGTAGGTTGCCTGTTCACTCTGATGGTAGTTTCTTTTGCTGTGCAGAAGCTCTTTAGTTTAATGAGATCCCATTTGTCAATTTTGGCTTTTGTTGCCATTGCTTTTGGTGTTTTGGACATGAAGTCCTTGCCCATGCCTATGTCCTGAATGGTAATGCCTAGGTTTTCTTCTAGCGTATTTATGGTTTTAGGTCTAACGTTTAAGTCTTTAATCCGTCTTGAATTAATTTTTGTATAAGGTGTAAGGAAGGGATCCAGTTTCAGCTTTCTACATATGGCTAGCCAGTTTTCCTAGCACCATTTATTAAATAGGGAATCCTTTCCCCATTTCTTGTTTTTCTCAGGTTTGTCAAAGATCAGATAGTTGTAGATATGCGGCATTATTTCTGAGGGCTCTGTTCTGTTCCATTGATCTATATCTCTGTTTTGGTACCAGTACCATGCTGTTTTGGTTACTGTAGCCTGGTAGAAGTTGACTCTCTGAATAGACCAATAACAGGCTCTGAAATTGTGGCAATAATCAATAGCTTACCAACCAAAAAGAGTCCAGGACCAGATGGATTCACAGCCGAATTCTACCAGAGGTACAAGGAGGAACTGGTACCATTCCTTCTGAAACTATTCCAATCAATAGAAAAAGAGGGAATCCTCCCTAACTCATTTTATGAGGCCAGCATCATCCTGATACCAAAGCCGGGCAGAGACACAACCAAAAAAGAGAATTTTAGACCAATATCCTTGATGAACATTGATCCAAAAATCCTCAATAAAATACTGGCAAACTGAATCCAGCAGCACATCAAAAGGCTTATCCACCATGATCAAGTGGGCTTCATCCCTGGGATGCAAGGCTGGTTCAATATATGCAAATCAATAAATGTAATCCGGCATATAAACAGAACCAAAGACAAAAACCGCATGATTATCTCAATAGATGCAGAAAAGGCCTTTGACAAAATTCAACAACGCTTCATGCTAAAAACTCAATAAATTAGGTATTGATGGGACGTATCTCAAAATAATAAGAGCTATCTATGACAAACCCACAGCCAATATCATACTGAATGGGCAAAAACTGGAAGCATTTCCTTTGAAAACTGGCACAAGACAGGGATGCCCTCTCTCACCACTCCTATTCAACATAGTGTTGGAAGTTCTGGCCAGGGCAATTAGGCAGGAGAAGGAAATAAAGGGCATTCAATTAGGAAAAGAGGAAGTCAAATTGTCCCTGTTTGCAGATGACATGATTGTATAGCTAGAAAACCCCCATTGTCTTAGCCCAAAATCTCCTTAAGCTGATAAGCAACTTCAGCAAAGTCTCAGGATACAAAATCAATGTGCAAAAATCACAAGCATTCTTATACACCAATAACAGACAAACAGAGAGCCAAATCATGAGTGAACTCCCATTCACAATTGCTTCAAAGAGAATAAAATACCTAGGAATCCAACTTACAAGGGACGTGAAGGACCTCTTCAAGGAGAACTACAAACCACTGCTCAGTGAAATAAAAGAGGATACAAAGAAATGGAAGAACATTCCATGCTCATGGGTAGGAAGAATCAATATCATGAAAATGGCCATACTGCCCAAGGTAATTTATAGATTCAATGCCATCTCCATCAAACTACCAATGACTTTCTTCACAGAATTGGAAAAAACTACTTTAAAGTTCATATGGAACCAAAAAAGAGCCCGCATCGCCAAGTCAATCCTAAGCCAAAAGAACAAAGCTGGAGGCATCACGCTACCTGACTTCAAACTATACTTCTACTCTGTTTTTAGAGCTTCTCATGTGTCCGCTGTTTCTCAAAATAATCAATATGCAAAAGAGGCATGTTTTAGGGTGGCATTCTGGTCTCCTACAGTCATATTTTTGGGTGGCATATTCTGGTTTCCTACAGAACGAAGTAGATGTTATAACAGGTTCAGAGAAAGTCAAAACAGCAGAGATTTATATGAGATAAAGAAATGTCCAGATGACTTGCACATGGAACAAAACTATTTTTCCATATGGGGTAAGATGTCAATTAAAACATTATCAGGCAGGTCAATTTACATATCTGCTTGTTAACTATTGTTTACAAAGAGTTGAGAAAAAGCTCAAAGACAAAGAATAAGACTAGAATCAATTAATTCAGAAGGGTATGTAGCTTCATCTATTCCTAACAAAGCTTAAAATCAAGACCTGAATGGATCAAACTTTCTGCATAATTTAACCACATCCCAGAAAAAAAAGCTTAAGGATATTTGTAGAAACACAAAAATAGCCAGCAGTAACAGGGTAAAATTCACAATATTTCACATTCATTCAGAAATTTCCAGGCATGCAAAGAGGCAGGGACTTTAAAAAGAGCATAACAAGGAGAAAAATCAATCAAAATTGACCCTGAAATGACATAAATGGAAGAATTAGTATACAAGAATATTAAAATAGTTATTTTAACTGTGTTCCATATGTTTTGAGGTGCTAGAGAAAAACGTATTAGGAAGAGATATGGAAACTATGAAAAAGGTCCAAATCAAACTTCTAGAGATAAGCACTATAATGAAAAATGAGATGAAAAATGTACTGGATGGAATTAACTGTGCATTAGACAGTGAACAAATGAAGGTAAGTGAAATTTAAGATACAGCTATAGAAACTTTCCAAAATTAAACAGAGAGAATAAAAATGACTGGGGAGGAACTCCCTGAAAGGTGCATTAGTAAACCATGAGGTAACTTAAGTGGCCAAATATGTAGTGACATCAGCGGGAATGGTGGGATAAGGCACTCTGGAAATGCTCCTCTTCATAAAAGCAATACTGGCAAAATGGTCAGTCACCTTTTTTCAGAATTTTGGAAATTAACCAAAGTCTTGCTACAATTATGAAGCATTTAAGGAAAATGACCATAAGCTCTGTAAGAACAGCAAATTTAGTGGGATTTTAATTTGCTCTATTACCTTTACCTTCTCCCCTGCCCCCAACAAACTTCCCAGTGCCATGATAGCCTTGAAACCAACAGCCTGAAATCACGGTGAAAACCACCACCTTGGCAGCCACTTCAGGGGGCTTATAGTATTGGATTGCCTTAGAAATCCCATTTTCATTGAATTGTCATTGTTTGACCTGTGTGGTGATTGTCTGGATAACCCCACTCACAAAGATTATTTTTATTTGACCTGACTCAGTGCTAACACGTTGTTTTTTTGGGGCGAGGTGTGAAAGAGGGGTGTTTGTCATAAATACTTGCTTTACGTTTCTGCTGTCTTACTAGTAGATAGCAGTTAAAACGAAAAATAGGGCTAACCAAAAAACTTAATAGGAGAAGCTGGGGAATTAGATGTTCATATGAGGTTTGAAGGAAGTTCTGACACATTCTTGGGAATTCAGAAGACTTACATGCATGTGTAGAGCTGTGAGCATGCTCGGAAAATACCTAAGAAGGCCCTCACCTTAGGCTGACCTTGAGGCTCTGTGTAAGCCAGAAGTGGAGGCTAAGGCAGAGTTGTCTGCTGCCTGGTGCACATTTAAAGTGTAGAGGGTAGAGACCTGGTGTGATGGGTGATTCCTGTAATCCCAGCACTTTGGGAGGCCAAGTCAGGAGAACTGCTAGAGGCTTGGAGTGGGAGACCAGCCTGGGCAACATAGCGAGACACTGTCTCTACAAAAAAATTTAAAATGAGCATGGCATGGGGGCGTGTGCCTGTAATTCCAGCTACCTGGGAGGCTGAGGTGGGAGGATGGCTTGAGCCCTGGATTTTGAGGCTACAGTGAGCTATGATCATGCCACTGCACCCCAGCCTGGGTGATCCTGTCTCTTAAAAAAGAAAAAAAGTGTAGGGTGGAAGGGATTTCTTTTTTTTTTTTTTTTTTTTTTTGAGACGGAGTCTTGCTCTGTTGCCCAGGCGAACTCGGCTCACTGCAAGCTCCACCTCCTGGGTTCACGCCATTCTCCTGCCTCAGCCTCCCAAGTAGCTGGGACTACAGGCGCCCACCACCACGCCCGGCTAATTTTTTGTATTTTTAGAAGAGACGGGGTTTCACCGTGTTAGCCAGGATGGTCTCAATCTCCTGACCTCATGATCCGCCCACCTCGGCCTCCCAAAGTGCTGGGATTACAGGCGTGAGCCACTGCGCCCAGCCGGGATTTCTTTTCTCACCCATTGCAAGGTTCATGGCTGTGGTCCCATAACAAAAGACATATTAACAAGAGAAAAGCATATATATTTTGTATATATTTTATGTGATATAGGAGCCTTCAGGAATGAAGACCCAGAGAAACAGGTAAATCTGTGTATTTTTATGGACAGTCATGCAGAACTATGATTGGAGGACAAAAGGGTATGATCTAATGATAATAAACTAGGGGAACTTGGCAATGTCTGTTTTTTCAGATTCTTCTTCTTGTCCCTGTGTGACATTCCTTGCCCCCGGTATAGGGCAAGACACCTGTCACATTACATTCTTCAAGGGAGAAGGGAGGGAGAAGGTTACACAGTAACCTAGGTCTTATGGCCTGTTTCAGGGAGGAATGTGAGGAGGGGAAGGTTCAAGTGGCCTCTTGCTTCTGCTGTTTCCTCAACTTCCAAGGTGCCATATTTTGGGGTAGCATGTCTTGAACTTTGTCAAAAGTGTACCTTAACACTTCAGAGCTCTGCTGCAAAGACTAGGAAACATAGTGGTTCCAGGTGGTTCCAGGTCGTTCCAGCTTAGCTAACTGCTAAGCTAATCAAGCAGAGATTTCGGAGGCTCCGTACCACAGGGAATATAGACTTTAGTGTAGAAGTCTCTAAACAAACAATCTCAACCACCTCCACAATAAAACAGCAGCAAGAAATATATTTGTAATTGGGTTCCAAAAAGTAGATGAGGGATGAAAAAATATTTGAAGAAATAATGCTGAAAAATTGCTGAATTGGGTGAAAACACTAAGTTCACAGATCCAAGGAGTTCAATGAACCCAACCACAAGAAAAATGAAAACTACACCAAGTTGCAATCATAATCACATTGCTTAAAATCAGTGAATATGAGAAATTTTGAAAGTAGCCAGAGACAAAGGGAACATTGCACAGAAAGGAATAAAAATAAAGACGACAGCAGATTTCTTATCAGGAATATTGTATGCTAGAAAACAAGGCAAAGACATCTTTTTAAAGTTCTTAAAAAATTGTTCATACTTAGATAGCATGTATATGCCATAGGCATCAGTTTATTAAAATAGAAAAGAACAATGTGTTACCACTTACCAGTGAGCTAACACAAAATTTAATGCCCATGTTGAAAGAAAAGTTTAGGGAAAAATTCTGAGTTATTGGATGTAGACAGAGAAGTCAGTCTGTTGCTATTTACATAAGGATGATATACCTAAGGGCAGAGAACTTAGAAGGACATGATGAAATAAAAATTAACTTTAATAGTGAAATCTTGAAAAAATAGGCTAAACGTCACTAAGAAATTATTTTTGCCAAGTTTTATCTTTACACATTTTTATTATAAAGGATTTTGAACATAGAACATATAGTATGACAACTTGGGTACCCACCATTTAGCTTTGTAAAATTTTAATTTTTTTCATGCTTGCTTTGTATTTTTCTATTTAAAGAAATATAATATTACAGACTTAGATTTCCACAGTGTTCACTCCCTAATATAAAATCGTTTTGTAGCCCTTCCCAGAAGTAATCACTCTTTTGAATTTGGTGCTTTTAGTTACCAAGCATTTTATATTCTTTTACAACATATTGTACTTGTTATAAATGGTGTCAGATAAATATACTTTGTTGAATTTTTTTATTTTGAGATGTGTCTTTATTGATACATGAGCCATAGCCCACTTAGTTGTAATCTATATAGTTAGTACATGTATTCTATTGTATGAATAGTACAGAATTTGTAATCATTTTCTTGTTATGGACATTAAGATTGTTTATAATTCATCACCATCGCAAACCATGCTGCAGTGAGTATCCTTGTGCACGTTTACATAGGCACATGAGCAAGTGTTTCTCTGTGTTGTGTGTCTCCATGTGAACTAGCCAGGTTTTAGGTTCGTATATGTATCTTTACCGTTAGTGTCTGTTGTCACATTACTTATCACTGGGCCATACCCACCCTCACATGATTTACTAGTTCCTGTTTTTCCACATTCTCACCCATACTCGGCCTCTCCAATGGATGTAAAATGGAATTCAGTGTTTTAATTTATATTGCCTATTACTAGTAAAGTAGGACCCTATGTCATGTGTTTATTAACCATTAGATTTTCCTTTTCTGTGAATGATGTGTTTATATCTTAGCCCCATTTTTTTGTTTGATTTTTATTTCTCTTATTTATATGAATTTGAGAGCTGTCTCATAAAAAGAGGAAAACAAGAGATGAGATCCCACTGTGTCGCCCAGGCTAACCCAAACTTCTGGACTTAGCGATTCTCCCATCTCGGCCTCTCAGAGCGCTAGGATTATAGGCATGAGCCACTGCGCTCAGCAAAAAAGAAAAAAAAATTTTTGGTTTTTTTTTTTTTTTTTTGAGTCTTGCTCTGTCACCCAGGCTGAGTACAGTGGCACGATCTCGGCTCACTGCAACCTCCGCCTGCTGGGTTCAAGCGATTCTCCTGCCTCAGCTTCCTGAGTAGCTGGGATTACAGATGCTCACCACAATGCCTGGCTAATTTTTGTATTTTTAGTAGTGACGGGGTTTCGCCATATTGGCCAGGCTGGTCTCCAACTCCTGACCTCAAGTGATCCACCTGCCTTGGCCTCCCAAAGTGCTGAGATTACAGGCATGAGCCACTGCACCCAGCCCAAAAATACATTGTGAATAGCATTTTATTAGTATATTCTCTCAGTTTATAACTTGTATTTTCACTTGGTATATGTTTCCTTATAATACAGGAGTTTTAAATTTTAATACTATCATAATGGTTAATGTTTGATTTCTTTTTGTTTTAAAAATCTTCCTAAGACCATAAACATTTTCTTGTGTAATTTCATCTAAAGGTTTTAAGAGTTTGCTTTTCAGTTTGTCTTCAATACACTAATCCACTTGGAATTTATTTTCTGTATGACGTGAGGTAGGGATATAATTTAATGTGTTTTTTTTCTTTTTTTAAATTTATTTTATTTTATGTAAGTAACCAATTCCTCTCCCCCAAATTTTTTCCAAAATAATATTAAAATTTAAAATAGTTCTAAATTTGTAGGAAACCTGCAAAGATAGTACAGAGAATTCCTATATACTCCACACCCAGTTTCCTCAATTGTTAACATCTTATGTTAGAATAGTTTTAAAATAGACTGTAGTACATATTGCTCTACACATTGTAGAAGTGGTTTTTATTTTTACAACAAAACATTAGGGAATTTTAGTTTAGGATTTTTATGTCTTAACACATATTTTATAGGTAGTTTAAATCAAAACAGGGTGATTGTGTCATAAACTTTGACACAAATATAAGTAAGCATTTTACCTAAAAAAGATTTGGGGTGACTGTGTTATAAATTTTGACACAAATATAAATAAGTGTTTTACCTGAAAAAGATTTGGAGAAGAATCTTAACTTGGCAAATGATGTTTTAGTCTGTTGCCTTTTTATTGCCAAAATATCTTGAATTTCCTTGCAACATTTACAGCTATAGAGTTTGTTGATTACTAACTAAGGGGACTTTGTAGTCAGTTCTAAATTCTAGAATGGGGAAACAGGGAATAAAGGTTTTTCTTAAAACCTACTCCTAGTTTTGCTGCACTAGGCCAAGCACTCTTTTGTTTACTTTTATTCTTTTCTACTGCACTTCACTGATAAAATATGTATACTAAAATTTGGAGACTCAAAAGGGGGCATGTAGCACTCATATTTGAAATTTAGTCCAAGATCAGTGAAAATCACATCAAGGAAGATAGTGAACATAACTTATAAAGTAGTTGCTAGTTTAGACAAGAAGTCAGTGAAATTCATGAAAATGCTATTTTGGTTCAGAAAAGAGAGTTTAGGTCGGGAGCAAGTGGCTCACACCTGTAATCCTAGCACTTTGGGAGGCTGAGGAGGGAGGATCTCTCCAGCCCTGGAGTTTGAGACCAGCCTGAGCAACATAGTGAGACACTGTCTCAAAAAATAAGACAAGTAAATAAAAGATGGATTTTCTAAAAAAAAGAAAGAGAGAGAGAAAGCCAAAAGCATAAGGCTGACCCATTTTACTGAGTGTTCAAATTATGGTAATTTCATTCTGAGAAGCCACCTAACACACTTAGTGTAGTTGCGCTACGATTGTGAATCTGCCTTCTGTAATAGTTTCTCACTCTTTAAGACACAGAAATAAACATAATTTAGATATGGGTGTATAGCACTCAGATGTTTACTTTTATCTCATGAGAATTGCTAACCCGTTTTAGATTTCTCTTTCTCTAATCAAATAGTCTCAATGTTTTATATAAAGATAAATACTTCAGTTTTAAGAATTGTAGCTTACTAGAAGTATTAGTCTCTATAATTTTAAACTACAAATAAAGTAAATTTTCTTCATTCACAGTACTATGGAATCTCTAATATGGGTCAGTGTTTTTGCTGGGTCATGGGCGTAATGCTTGAAGAACTCCCTCTGATGGGGAAAAAGTGAAACATGATGAAATATTGATAGTAAAAGGATAGATGTCTACATTTAACCTTGAAGGATAAGTAGTTTTTTGGATGGATAAGAAGAATCATGGGCCGGGTGCCGCTGGCTCACGCCTTTAATCCCAGCACTTTGGGAGGTCGAGGCGAGTAGATCACGAGGTCAGGAGTTCAAGACCAGCCTAGCCAAGATGGTGAAACCTTGTCTCTACTAAAACTACAAAAATTAGCTGGGTGCGGTGGCAGGCGTCTGTAATCCCAGCTACTCAGGAGGCAGAAGCAGGAAAATCTCTTGATCCTGGGCGGCAGAGGTTGCAGTGAGCCGAGATCGTGCCACTGCACTCCAGCCTAGGTGACAGAGTGAGACTCCATCTCAAAAAAAAGAGAGAGAGAAAAAAAAAAAAAGGAATCATGAAAGGGAATTCTGTTCACTTTAAGTAGCTTGAGATCTTGAGATTTCTGGAGATACCAGTAAGAGTGTGTCAGAGAGAAGATGGGAAATAAGAATTTTAAAAAATAAAATCTTGCAAGATACACTATATTGTTTGAGCTTTATTCTGTGGCTTATAAGAAGCTCTTGGAGGGTTTAAAAATTGAAACCAAGAAAAAGAAATGTTGGCTCTTTAATCAGAGTAGAATCCTAATAAACAATTTGGTATGATTAGAGTGGTACTTGAGTAGTAGCTGAGAATTGGGATGTAATAGTCAATATAATTTATCAATGAGAAGAGCATTCATCACCTGGGAGAAGAGGAAAGAAACTCAAGCTTTTAAAGAAGGTGGAATATATTGGACCTCAACCTCTGATTTAAAATATATGGTGGTACCCTTATAGGAGACTCCATTTTTTTTTTAAAGGACCATGGTGTTCAGTATTATGTGCTTTCTAACATTGAATTTGGAAAGTTTCACTGAAGTTCATGGCACTGGGAAAACCACCATGCAATCAGGGCAGTTTAAAGATAGTAGAGGAAAAATCACACCCGTGATTGCAAATGCTTGTGTTAACTGAATATTGTTTTGGAAGTTGGAAGTTCGAGAAGCCTATTGAACAATATTTTTTTTCTCTGACTAATTCTGAACTACTTGAGAGGTAAGACAAAAGTTAGAGCTGTAGAGATCAAAGTATCCAGTTAAATACTAGGTAGGAGGTTGTTACACAGGCCCAGTTTCTTGTACCTAAGGGACCAGCCAGACAAGTAAATCACTTTTGCCTGGGGTGATGTGAGTAAGTGGGAGGACCTGGAGGCATACACTAATGGATATCTCTTCCCTTGAAAAATAAAGCTGGGAAAAGGTGATTGCTTGTCTTTTAGTCAGTATTTACTGCTGAGACTGGAAAACATTAATGCAGTGATAATTTGCTACTCTCAAATAGCAGGTTTATTGTAGGTACAGTTTTGGAATTTCAAAGCTGAACGTGATCTTGGAGATCATTTACTTAACTCCCCTCGTTTTTACAGATGAGGAAGATGTGGGCCTAAAAAGGTCAACTTACTTAAGATAACACAAGTGGAAGAGCAGATCTTCTGAGTCACCATGCCAACGTCTATTTATAAGTAGGAATGCTAATGCATTGCTTTTTCAATAGAAAATTAAGTGAAATTTCTCATTTCTATTTTCTTATATAGAAAACCAAAATATGAGAATCTTAAACACAATAAAGCAAATTAGTACTCCAGCTACTTTACAATGACTACTACCACTTTTACACATTTCTTTTCAAATGCTTTTTAATGCATACAATTTATATGTGAGGTGTAACTGCAGCATCCAAATTGGAATACAAGAGGGCTCCATCTCTTTCATGTGAAAGGACTCATTTTGCTGCTTGTCTTTTTTATAGAGAACCATTCTGAAAGAATACAAGGTAGATATATCAAGAATACTCTGTATCTGGAATTTTTTTCTAACATAAGCTTTGAATAGCTGTGTGAATGTGTACTTCTTTCCTTGAATCTAAAATAAGATTAGACCAGATATGGCAAATACGTTTCTTTTGTCCTTCCCTTAAATTGATCTCATAGTTAACTGCTTTGGAGATTCTGGGAAGATGGCTGCACTTGCCTCACATTCTTCACCTGGATAATCCACCACAGGGAGCGGAGTCCCATGCCTTGTGGTTCTTTTCATCCCTACTTAGGTAATTGCTCAGCTCCCATTGGGTTATAACATTCTGCAACTGTATATTTTAGAAGCTCGTTTTTTTTTTTCTGAATTAAACTAACTTATAATATTACTGAGTTTTACATAAAGTTTTATTCTTTAGACTAATCAATATGCTAGAACCATCTATAGATGTAACTCAGGGAACTAGTTCTTCTGTTGTCATATGACAGATTATTCCACACAAACACACATACTAAAAAAGCCATTGTGAACTAAGCTCAGGAAATTTCAACTGAAGCATGGTATTATTATTATTATGTTTCTCAGCATGAGCAGTAGTTTTCCAGACCCTCAGCCAAATGTCTGAAAGAAGATAAAGTACAGTGGACTTTCCTATAACATAGTCTGAGAATTAAAATCAAAGTGTCCCAGTAACTAAGCTGTCTTAAATGGGAAGTGAGATCTTAGATTCCCTTTGTTATTAAGGATCAAGTCTTTGGTGGTTTTTAGTATTTAAGGTCAACACTCACTAATCCTTTTTTTGAGGGGTGAATGACAGCTTAACTGCAAAGCATAGTTTCAGTTTACTGCCTGGCAAATACAAGCTTATTAAAAAAAAACGCCTGATTTTATTTTGCATTTGAAATTTATAGAATACAAGGTCTTTTTGTATCATAGTCTCATCATTGTAAACATCAGTTATCACTAAGTAAATGAACACTGGAAGTGCTATTAACATATATTTTAAGTTAATATATAGACAAATTTGCTTTTATAGTGTATGGAAAGACTTATGCCCATTGATCATTCATGGTTTTGTAATGAGCGTTTTTAAGATAACATTTACCAAAGCTCTATATTTTAATAATCCAGAAAACTATAAAGAAAATAAAAAATCAGCCAGGCACGATGGCTCAAGCCTGTAATCTCAGCACTTTGGAGGCCAAGGTAGGCAGATCACCTGAGGTCTGGAGTTTCTGACCAGCCTGGTCAACATAGTGAAACACCATCTCTACTAAAAATGCACAAATTAGCCAGGTGTGGTGGTGTGCACATATAATCCCAGCTACTTGGGAGGCTAAGGCAGGAGACTCGCTTGAACCCAGGAGCCAGAGGTTACAGTAAGCTGAGATCACCCCACTGTACTCCAGCCTCGGCAACAGAGTGAGACTCCATCTCAAAAAAAGAAAAAGAAAAAAATCATTCATAATCTTAGCATCCAGAAATTATGATGTCTATATGTATTTACATAATTGGGATCATGTATGTACATACTGATGTAGTTTTATAATCTTTTCACATACCAAATATTTGAATATTTTCTGTGTCACTGAATAACCTTATAGAGCATGATTTTTAGGATACATCTATAAGAATCAGTATATTCCATCATATCAATGTACCACTTCTTTAACCCTTCCTTTTTGACATTTAGATGGCTTCCAAGTTTTTCCTCTTTTAAATTTTTATTTTCTTCTTTAAGTTCTGTTGGACTTGATTTTTTTTACTTTTTAAAGTAATGTTGTGATTAATGTCAGTGTGCAGAAATATTTCTGTATATCTGTGATTTCATTAAACTGTTAGAATCTGTTAGGTCAGCTTATACTAAAGTTTTCAATATTTTTGTCCCCCAGAAAGTTATGCCTGTTAAAATTTTATTCACAGTGTATTAGAGTGAGTTGGTCTGTCTCTTTGCCTTGTTTTAACTCTTTTTTTTTTTTTTTTTTTTTTTTGAGACAGAGTCTTGCTCTGTCACCCAGGCTGGAGTGCAGTGGCACAATCTCACCTCACCGCAACCTCTGCCTACAGAGTTCAAGTGATTCCTCTGCCTCAGTCTCCCAAGTAGCTGGGATTATAAGCACATGACACCACGCCCAGCTAATTTTTGTATTTTTAGTAGAGATGGGGTTTTGCTATGTTGGCTAGGCTGGTCTTGAACTCCTGACCTCAAGTGATCTGCCCGTCTTGGCCTCCCAAAGTGCTGGGATTACAGGCGTGAGCCACCATGACCAGCCTTAAATCTTTGTAGATGAAAAATTACTTATGTAATTTAATTTGCATTTCTTTAGTTACTAGTAAGTTTGAATCTCTACCCCCTTCAATTTATGGCCCTTTGCAGTTGTGGGGGCAGGGCATGTGTTGTTTATTCTATGTAGGGGTGCTTATTTTAGTTTTGGCATTTGGTGCGTTAATAATGCTTTTTTTTTTTTTTCAAACTAAAGCTGTGTGGCAAGGAGAGAAAAGCATGGTTTTTTAATTCATGGACTTGTATTTCGTTGTCACTTATGTATTTCCTGTGTGTCTTTGGGCCAACTGTCTGTCATCTGTGAGCCTGAAGTTGACTGACCTGCCAAAAAAGATGATTATGAGATTTAAATGAGACACCTATCCCAGAAGAATCACTCGATGGTAGCTGCACTTCTCCTTTTCCTCACCTCCTCATTATCACCTACCTGTTATTTCTCTCTTTAGGCATTTTTGAACAGAATTGAAGGAAAACGCCATTCAAGTCTGCTATTTGCCTGTAAACAGAGTGGATACAATCTCACTGACCACCCAATAGTCACTGTTAAAATCTTTTCAATTCTTATGATGACAGCTGATGGATATACTTTTACATTATATTTAGTGAGAAAGGAGTGGAAAGAGAGCCAGCACTGGAACAGGCACAGCCATCAGAGGAGCAGCTTTTTCTTGTCTGTATCTTATACTACACGCTTTTTTTTTTTTTTTGATTAAAGACTAGTTCTCTGTGTTGCATTTTTATGCCAACTTTAGCTGCTGCCAGAATCTTGGATGCCCTAAATACCAGTGCTTACAGTGGAAGCCAGCAGGGTGGACCAGACAGTGAAAAAGATTCCTTTGCTCATGTTGTCAGCTTATCTGAAATCTTGAACAGCTGTTTGAATGAATGAATGAAGTACATATTAAAGGGAGTTACAGAACTTCCAAAAGAACTGCTTTTATCAGGCAGACTCCCTGTAAGCACCTGTTGAGTAGATCCTCTGTCAGGCACAATGCCAAATTTTGGAGATACAGTGGAAGTAAGACACTAGTCCTGTGCTGAAGATGGCAGATTTAAACAAGAAAATAGCATTAACAAATGAAATGCGGCATATAAGTACGAAAGGACTACAGGTGTTCTAGACAAGAGGATAGTCATCTAATATTGGAGGATATTGTCATAGGAAAGTTCCAAGATATTCAAGAAATTGAGACCTATAATTTGGAAGAGGTTTTGGTTTCTTCCAAAGTGAGAGAGTGAGGCTTAATTCTCTCCTGTATTAAACTGTGTTGCTATAATTGCTTTGTCTATGTCAGGGTGACTTGTAAGAAGCAAATGGACATTTGAGTGCAACTACACTTTTGTTTAAGACATATGGCATATGTATTTACCTTCCCGATATCAATATGGCAGGTGGAGATGACATGCCATGCCAACAGGTTTTGGTAGACTTGAGTTCTTATACATGGGATGATGTTTTGTTTTATTTTGTTTTGTTTTTTTGGCTCGGGAGAGGACAGGCACCAACAGATAGACTTTCTCAGGATAGACCACCATGACTAGAATGCAAAACTGTAAAAGTGACTGCTATATTTTAATCAGCAAATCTGCCACAGTTGTGGGACATTAAAGCCCTAATTGACCCTACATCACCTAAAGATAGGTGCTGCACTCAAGGCTGCAAAGGGAGCCAACCACTTTTATATATTTACATATTTAAATCCATTCTCCAGCAACAATTGAAATACTTGTAAGCATTTTAATTCTTCCTGCCGGCTCTGTATTTCAACCTGAGGACCCAAATAATACAATTTCATCCACAACAGTAAAGCTAATTACCCTTGACTGTAGCATTTCTAATACAATTTTATTTTAGCATTTCAAAATACATTTGAAAAGTAAATTATGAGTTCTTCCAAACTAGATTCTCTACTTAGTCACATTAAAATGATCAAAAAATGGAAACATTATAAAATTTTTTGCCAGGAAAAACCTACCCATCAAAAGGAGAGAAGTCTTTTTTTATATTGTCTACCATATGATACAAAAATTAATTTTGGTAATATTAACAAATGTTCCTTTTTTGGTAATACTTGATTCCTGACATAAACATTACATCTATGTTATTAAGTCATGTCTTCTAGAATACAGCCTGAACTATGCATAAGACTTCTTTGTTTTGAAGTTATAAATTTTATTATTATCCTTTTGTGAGTTTTTGCCTCTCACAGGTCACTTTTCTTTTGTTCAGAAGTGGTTCTGATTTAAGGCACCAACCTTAAATGTTTCACTGACAATTATTAAAGACACATTGCTTCTAAAACATTGTACTGTGAACATTAAGTGATAGAAAGATAAGACTCTGCCTCACTCCAAAGCGGCTGATTTATTTGAATAAAAACTGTAGTCACAGATAAATACAATATATAGCATAATGTAATAAATCTATAGGAGAGACCAACAAATATGAAAGAAAGCTTAGCAAACATATAACAAAATAGTAACAATTTTTGGATGATAGGATGAGTGAAAGGAAGAGTAGTGCTAAGTGAAGGCTGGCCATGTATGCTGGAGCCAGATCTTAGAAGACTTTGGATGTCTTTCTGCATGTTTGAACTATATTCTCCAGGTAATATGGAGAAACTTAGGAGGACTTTTTATGCCCTTCTCCATCTCCATTAGAAAGTAATACTTGCTCATTATACAGAATTTGGAAAGTACAAAAAAGTATACAAAAGAAATGTAAAATCATTCGTAAATTCATTCTCTCTCCTCTGTCACTCTACTCCATCCCGTCTTCCAGTGCTGTTTCCTGACCCACAGTGATGTGATTAGAGCCACGCTTTAGGAATGGCACCTAGATGTGGTGTATCATAAGTTGCAGGATAACTTATTAGGAATCTTAGTGTGCAGAGGGAATAGGAAGGAGTGAGTAGAACAAGAATCCTTTTAAAGATAGAAACAGGCTGGGCATGGTGGCTCACACCTGTAATCCCAGCACTTTGGGAGGCCAAGGCACGTGGATCATTTGAGGTCAGGAGTTTGAGACCAGCCTGGCTAACATGGTGAAATTCTGTCTCTACTAAAAATACAAAAATTAGCCGGGCATGGTGGCATGCGCCTGTAATCCCAGCTACTTGGGAGGCTGAGGCAGGAGAATCGCTTGAACCTGGGAGGCAGAGGTTCCAATGAGCTGAGATCACACCACTGCACTCCAGCCTGGGCGACAGAGGGAGACTGCGTCTCAAAAAAAAAAAAAAAAAAAAAAAAAAGGAACAAAAGGCGATTTTTACTGATTTCATGTGGGTGTGTAGGAGGAGAAGAGGAAGTTTGGTTGTGTGATTGACTGCCCTTTCAAGCCCCTGTGGCCAAAAGGATCCTGTTGTCCTCAAACATGAGAAACCTTACAGAAGACAGAATGGGAGACACTATAATTTTGCTTTGGGGTACTTTAAATCTGAGGTGCTATCAAGTCACCTAACTGGTCCAGAAGTATGAACTGTCTATACAGAATCAGGAACCCAGGTAGGAGGTACAGATGATTGCTGCATTTGATTTTTTGCTTACAGAGCATTCACCTATTTATTTTAATAAAGAAATTACCAGTTTTTCTAGTGTGTTCTTTTATGTGGATGGTTTCTGAGGCTGTGGTGACAACTGATTTAAGAAGCCTATTTACAAAACCATCAGTTCTATTAAAAGATACATGAGGTCAAAGTTAGTGTGATTCAAGGTCAGTGATCCCCAGATTTGACCATTAATCCTATACTAACGGAAGTGATGGCAGCTTTTACTTCAAAAACACTAAGAATAATGAGATAACACTGTCCTCGACATGTTTTAACAAAGATAGTTGATTATCTTGTTTCCTGTAAAGGATTTCCACCCTCTGAGTTTTTCCAATAAGTAAGGGGAACATGAGACAGATACCATTTGTAGATTTAGCTGTATATTGACATTTTCAGTCATGATCCAGAATTGGTCAATTACATATGACTGCAGTTCCTGGAGAAGTCTAAATGGAAGGGACAATCTGTAAGGAAATGGAGTCTTTCCTGCTTTTTCAGGGTAACATGATTATTTTTTAACATGGATCACAGCTGCCCAGAATGCAGTAAAGATTTTTTGTGAGTCTAATCTTAGGTTTACAAGCTCAGCCTTGTACCACAGCATCAGTGTCCTCATGTATATATGCATTCCCTAACAATTAGTTGTTTGTGCTTCAATCTTGTTTTGAAGGTTTTTTTTTCCCACCATGTGATGTCTGGCCTCAGCTTGAAGAGTTTAAAAATTAAGCATATTTTACTCCTGACCTTTACAGAAATTAAAATTTTTGGTTGTACTGTGTAGGTCTCAGTGCTAGAAATGCTTGCTAAAACAGTTTTTTTAAACCTCTATCAGCATTTGAAGCAGTTTGAGATTGTAGAAAATTGTGCAACCTTTGTTTTATTATTTGACTCTTACAGATAGTGCTAAACCTCAAGTATGAATTCTCTTTATATGAGACCAGAACACTGTGGAAATACAGGATTTTAGATAGGCCTTTACAATGCATATATTTTACATAATTTCACCCTAAAAATGTAACATGTATTTGGCAAAGGAAGGGCTTTTGTTGCTGTCATTCTCCCTCATGTGTTCCTCTTGTGCCTGACTGACTCTGCAGGGGGAACTTTAGTTCTCAGGACCTTGGTTTGCTCATGGCCTTCTGAGATTGATGCTGCCTTTCCTCTTTTTGCTCTTGTTGCAAGGACAGTGCAATCATATTCTTGCCTTCCTTCTTCTGTTGCACAAATGACTGGCCCCCCTCACCAGGATCACTTGGAGAAAAATCTCTTAGTATTCTGAGAGGGCCTAGACTCCCACTGAGTCCTCCAAAAGGACTGAAGATAGAGGTTTCCTAGAGCTTCTGGCTCCTCTCTTTCTTTTTAGTGCTGGTTCTCTCTAATCTTCTTTGTAAACTCCCATTCTCTGAAAGACAAATGCTTTTAGGGACTCTGCATGGCATGTGGATTTTACTCACAAAAACTGTGTCCCAGAGCTCCCCTACCTATTTTTCTACCATCTCTTCCTGTTCATTCACTGCTGTATGTAGCCTTGGCCATGTTGGCTTACTTCCTGTCCTGTTATTGGGTTCTTCTGTCTTACTCCTACCTTGCACATGCTACTCTTCTTCTCAGAATGCCTTCCACACATACTACCCCCAACCCGCCTTATGTTTGCTCACGCTAACCATTGCAGGCTGAAGTCTTTGCTTTCGGGGTCACTTGGGAAATCCTTTCTTGCTCACCTCTCTTCCCAGGTAGGTTTAGATGTCTCTACTGTGTGCTCCCATAGCATGGCCCACATCCCTTTATTACGGCCCTTATGTTGGTTACAATGACAGGTCTGAGATTAATAAAGTTTTTATTTTTTTCCTTTTTTTTCCTGTCACCCAGTCTGGAGTGCAGTGGTGCGATCTTGTCTTACTGCAACCGCCTCCCAGATTCAAGCGATTCTCCTGCCTCACCCTCCTGAGTAGCTGGGATTACAGGCACCTGCCACTACGCCCAGCTAATTTTTTTGTATTTTTAGTAGAGAAGGGGTTTCACCATGTTGGCCAGGCTGGTCCTGAACTCCTGATCTCAGGTGATGCGCCCACCTTGGCCTCCCAAATTGCTGTGATTACAGGTGTGAGCCACCGTGTCTAGCCTCATAAGGTATTTTCAATACTGAGCATAGTGCCAACCAGTGAGCTGGTGCTTAATAAGGATTTGAAGTAAGAATCAATGGCTCAAAAGAGAGAGAAAGTATGAAGTGTAATTTCTGTATCTGCAGTCAGCATTCACAGGCTCAGTAGTTTGAGAAACCTGTATTTCCTGCTTTGACTTTTTCACTATTTCTTAAGTGCTACTGTTCTTTTAGTCTCTAAATCAAAACCATTTCACATCGAGATATGATACATACATATGTGTATACGTATGTGTATATTTGAAACCAAAAGTTTTGAAGTACAATATGTCCTCTTACTACTTATAATGAATGCTGATGTTTTTCTATTCTATCCTTTTTAATTTTACTTTTCTCAATGCTCTTCATGACCTATTAGATTGATTCACAACCTCCTTAGGTCACAGTCAGCACTTTGAAAACTACTGCTCTAAATTACTGTACCTTTTCTATGAGGAAGAGTTGAACTGTTGGTGTATCAGTCAGGGTCAACCAAAGAAGCACCGCCAGTAGAAGATAACATTTTAAGAGATTTACCACCAGGAATTGGTTTATGCATATGTTGAGTCTGGCTATGAAGGTCTGAAATCTGTAGGGCAGGCAGTGAAGATGGGAGGCTGGAAGCCTCAAGCATAAGTTGAAGCTGCTGTCACAGGCAGAATTTCTTTTATCGTCAGGAAACTTCAGCTCTGCTCTTCAGGCCTTTCAACTGATTCAGTGAGGCCCACCCAGATTATTTAGGATAATTTCCCTTACTTAAAGTCAACTGATTTTGAACTTTAATCGCATCTACAGAATACCTTCAAAGTGACACTTGGATTGATGTTTGATTAAATAACTGGGAATTGTAGCCTAGTCATGTTGACATATGGAAGGATCACCATAGCTTTGTGCAGTGGCAGTATCACAGCAAATGAGGTTTATCCTAGGCGTGATTATAGCTAATTGAAGACTTTTCCCAATATCCCGCTGTGAGGACTTACAATACAGTCGGCATTAACATTTTTTGGCAGTCTTTATGGAGACTGAATAAAAATAAATAAATAAAAAATAAATGTAAAAAAAAAAAAGACCATCATAGTACTGTGAAGAGCCTGGTCATCATCCTTTTTTATGTAAGGAGTAGGAATCCATTTTAGTTTGCCCACCACTTTATATCACATTCCTTTTTTCCTCTGCACTAATGTTAACCTTCTTAAGATCCTCACCCACTTATTTGGCCTCATCCGTGTTTTGGCATTCTCTTCCACCACCCTGGGTAAATGTATGTACGGTTCCTGGGAGTTTTACAGAGGTCCTTGTGTTGAGAGCCCCTTTCACTTTAGCCCGCAGTTGTTTCTGATGACCTCCTTGAATGAACAGTTAAGTTCCTTTCAAGGCTGTTTCATTCTGTTTCCAGGTAAAATTTGGGGCTTGAGGTACTCTTCCCAAGGTACTCAAGACCTCAGAGTTTAATGTTTGCTTTTCATGATACTCTTTACCCCACTCTCCCTTCCATTCAGAGGTCCAGTCACCCCTGGGGGATTTTCATGGGAGAGTGTAAACTTCTGTACTGGAGAAGCTTAAAAGTCTCACTTTCCATTTTCACGCTCAAGAGAAGCTCTCAAACCCTCTTTGGTGTGCCCGGCATCCCCTTATCCCCATTTCCCCTCTGTAATCTCACCATGTGTGCACACACATACACCTTGTATTGGTCCTCTCCATCTGTTTTCTTATTTAGACAATTTAGACTAATTTTCCTCCATGGGCTTTTAGAAACACAGTGCTGGCAGTTGTAGTAAAAGAAGCAGGAAGGACCAACTGCTGAGACACATGCTAGAACAAAAATTGATTTACTAACTTAACTTGCTGCATCTGTAAAAGAGTGTTTACTTCTTGGAATGAGGAGTAAGTTATTTCATCTAGGAGACTGTCCACTGCCCCCAAATGGTTGCCAATTGGGTTAATTAGTTAAATGTTTCTGTGATGAGGACACCTGTCCAGTGGAAACTGGACCAAGGCCACCAATTTATTTCATGCTGGCCACCAGTTGTCAGTTAGCAAAACATACGTCTCCAGTTTAAAACTCTGGCTGAACTGAAAGAGAACATTGCTAATTTCTCATGGATAGTTCAATTGTTTACAATAAATTGAAAAATACTGAGGAAAACATGAACATCAGTGGAATTTCCCAGTTCTCTGTTAAAAAACTCGCTAATTTAGGTTTAATTGTCTTAGAATTTGTCCAAATTCAGGATGAGCTAAGTTTACATTTATGAAGGATTTTTTTCCCTGATTACTTTAATGGCATAAACTATTTTTACAGGAAGAACTTATTTTTAAGGCTTTTCTAGGCAATACTATACCTTAAAATTTATTAAAAATCAATGAAAAATAATGTATAGTAACCAGTAAGTCATAAATAGAAGATGGAAAAAAGACCAACCATTGCTTGAAAGTATTCAGTCTCACTAGAATAAAAATGAAAATTAAAATAAAAAAATACTTTTCAAGTATTTTAACAACACATATTTGCCAATAAATGGTACCAATTATGATTGAATTCTATGTTGTCAAAAGCAAGAGACTTAATCTTATTTCATTAATATTTCTATATGTGTGACCTTAATAAAACTCTGCTTATCTTGAAATATTATTTCACTAAAAATCTTCATATATATGAAAATTTAACTTTTCATATATGTGTTACATATATATTTTACTTATATATGTGTGTGTATGCATGTGTGTGTATGTGTGTGCATGTATGTATATGTAAAACTTTCCACAAAGTCAACTGTAGCTATTTTAAATTTGAGGAGTCGTGGTGGCTCATGCCTGTAATCCCAGCACTTTCGGAGGCCGAGGTGGGAGGATTGTTTGACCCCGGGAGTTTGAGACCAGCCTGGGCAACATAGCAAGACCCTGTCTCTATTAAAAATAATAATAAATAATTTAAAAATTTAGAGAGTTTGCATCCTCTGTATTTGAGGTGGTTGGTGCTATTGATAATACAAAAATACATACTTGATTTTATCATGGACTTTTGTATATGTTTGAATATGAATATGTTGGGGATACAACAATTTACTCCAAATAATATAAGAAGAATACTATGGAGATATGAATTGAGAGGACTTAGTAAGCAGCGTAAGTTGTGTTTTCCAGTATCTTTACCACATACTTCTGAAGACTATTTTGCTCACGCCTTCTTTTGTCCTTAGATAAGAACTGATTCTGAAAACTATCCCTCTTTGTATTGCATAAGGGAAGAAACACATGAGAGGTAGGTAATATGGAAGATATGATGGATGCCACTATAAGCAGCCATGCCTAGGTTACCACAGCCTTGTGTGAGGAAAAGCTGGGAAGAAGATCTATGACCACCTTGGATGGAAGGTGGTATTCAGTCCCCTTCCTGAGGCCCCTAGGCTTTTGGAACTGGGCTTAGAGCAGAAGAACAGAAAATAGGGCCTTGACTTGAGATTAATGCTTTTGACACATCCCCAGGTTCTTTGTCTGATTTTTTTTTTTTTTTTTTTTTTTTTTGAGACGGAGTCTCGCTCTGTCGCCCAGGCTGGAGTGCAGTGGCGGGATCTCGGCTCACTGCAAGCTCCGCCTCCCGGGTTCACGCCATTCTCCTGCCTCAGCCTCCCGAGTAGCTGGGACTACAGGCGCCCGCTACCACGCCCGGCTAATTTTTTGTATTTTTAGTAGAGACGGGGTTTCACCGTGTTAGCCAGGATGGTCTCGATCTCCTGACCTCGTGATCCGCCCGCCTCGGCCTCCCAAAGTGCTGGGATTACAGGCGTGAGCCACCGCGCCCGGCCTCTTTGTCTGATTTATTGTCATTAATGTTTTCACTTAAAATGAGGTGAAACGTTCTTAGTTATATTAATCTCTTGGCCCCAAATCTTGTGTTTTTAAACCAAGACAGGATCTTTGCAATCCATAGTAATAGTGAGCAAGTGATTCTTTTAGATGGTAGCCTGGTTAACATAGGCTAGTTTATATTGCATTACTAAATGATCCTAATATCTTCTAACAGATGTTTACTTCTCACTGATGTTACATGTCCATGTTAGGTCAAAGGGAAGCTCCTTGTATTCAGTATAGTCACTAAGGTACTTAAACTTGTCCATTTCCATCATACGTACTTTCCAGATTCCAGAAATATAAGAAGAAAAAAACACTGAAAGGTCTTGCCTCCGCAGTAAAATGGCTCAGTCAAGAAGTGACACACACCACCACTGCCCAGAACCCATTGGCGAGAATTATTTACATAGCCCCACCCCAAGGCAACAAAGGGTAAAGAAAGAAAATACCCTTTCTACCCAGAAGGAGAACTGGAAATACTGCTTAGCGGCACTAACATCTTCATAAATAGACTAGTTTACCTTTCTTTGGGCTAGCTCACATGGATTACAGAAGTGAGCTTACTATTTATATGAACAAATATAAATTGACCTTTACTTTCTCTTTTTTTCCCGTAGTTTTGCAAGAAAAAACTTACTTTTATGATTTTTACATGTATTAATCTTTACATTTCCTTTTCCTCCTTTTTGTACATTAACTGCTGAATTCAGAGTTTGAGTCATTATGTGGATTTTTGGTTGTTAAGGAGAGCATCCAGCCTGTTAATGCTCTCAAATGGGGTATCCCTCAGAAACCTCTCCTTGCAAAAGTAGCTTATGGATATTATCTTTTACCTGGGTAGAGGGGTTTCAGCTGCCTTGCTGACCTATATTTAGTGGAGGGCAGTAGACTAAGTGTTTTGGTTTGGCATTTATAATGCCTATTAGATGATTTAGATATGAGAATGAAACTAGCAGAGTGGTAAAATTAACTAAAAGCTTAACTATCTAAAAAACATAATAATATCTTCTAGATAGAAATATGGGTCCCAGATTATCCATTCCTGAAATGCTCTATAGGATTGTGTATTTATGTGGCAATATTAAAAAACGTGGAACAGATAACTTGCTATAAATAAGCCACAACTTAGAATTCATGCTTTTAGTTAACTTACCATCAAATGTAGGTATGAATAGTTGAAGACTTGTCATCAGAGACACATAGTGATAAGAATTTTGATTAGGTTTCAGAGTCGCGATTGACCCTAGAATCCAGCAGCCTCAGTATCATAATCGATCCTACCTTCTTGCACATAAAAGCCTGAGCTCAGAAAGGCCCAGTGAGTTGGCCAAGCCCACAGCGTGTGGCAGCACAAGTTCTCATTGACCGCTGCCTTACATGTGGGCCCCATGCAGTTTCCCCTCAATATTCTTTCCTACTGCAGTCCTAGCTAGGTTGGCTTTTTCTTTTCTAAGCTAGGAGTTTAAGTATGGAAATAATGATATTATCCTTATGAAATGCTTTAACTTGTCAAAAGTGTCTCTGTAACTTGTAGGTGTTGTAAATCTGCGGTCTTATTTCTACTTACTTGTAAGGAAGTCATATTCCTGACTACCTTGTCAAATACCAAAAAGTTCAGTTTTGCAGCCAGAGAATATCCTGTTTGAAAGACTTTGTGATGACTCATTTTATGGGTCAACGTTGGTAGGCCACAGTACCCAGATATGTGGGTAAACATTATTCTAGAGTCTATGAAGTATCTTTTAGATGAGATGAACATTTAAAGCAGTGGGCTAAAGCAGATTACCTTCCTTAACGTGGATTGGCCTCATCAAATTCATTGAAGACCTTCATAGAAGAAGACTGACTTCCATCAGAGAAGAGGGGATTCTGCCAGCAGACTGTCTTTGGACTTGAACTGCAACATTAGTTCTTTCCTGGGTCTCTGGCCTGCAGGCCTACCCTGCAGATTTTGGATTTGCTAGTCCCTACTGTCATATGAGACAATTCCTTAAAATCAATTTTAATATAAATATATATAGTATGTATAAAAAAAACACATATAAAGATATTAATTCTATTTTTCTGGAAAACCTTGACAAACGTAGGCTTCCTTGTGTTGCCGTTTGAACTAGCATGCTCTCTACCTCCCATTATATAGAGTATGTTTGGTTTTTTTTCACTTCTTTTTTTTTTTTTTTTTTGAGACAGTCTCGCTCTGTTGCCCAGGCTGGAGTCTGGAGTGCAGTGGTGCGATCTTGGCTCACTGCAAGCTCCGCCTCCTGGGTTCATGCCATTCTCCCGCCTCAGCCTCCTGAGTAGCTGGGACTACAGGCACCTGCCATCACGCCCAGCTAATTTTTTTGTATTTTTAGTAGAGACGGGGTTTCACCGTGTTAGCCAGGTTGGTCTAGATCTCCTGACCTGGTGATCCGCCTGCCTCGGCCTCCCAAAGTGCTGGGATTACAGGCGTGAGCCCCCACGCCCAGCCCAACTTCTTGTTCTTTAGTAATCCATTAAAACACTAGGCTTACAATTAGTGAAATGTACTTTTTGTCCTAATAGACTTTGTCTTATATATAGCATGTGTATTGTCCTCTGAACTTCTCGTGTAAAAATATGAAAAACCGTGGGAACTCTCTTTACCCTTTTCTGCCTTACTCCCTAGATTGGTTGGTAAAGAGATAATTTGTGTAAAGTGCTATATTGTCTATAATTTAAAGTACTTTGGCATATATAACATAATATTTATGGGAGTAACTTTGTTTTAGGACCCTTTAGTTAATTTTCTAGGTATTTCAATCATGAATCCACACACTAGGATTAGTAAGTTATTATTTGAAAGACACTGATTAGAAGCCTGCACCCAGATATTGGTACTTTAAATCTACACAAGACAATGTATTAACGTTAAGTATGCTACAAATAATTGGTGAAATGAATGATGTTGAAGATACAGGGGTTAGCCTTAGAAATATTTTATGTAACTAGACTTTGGGTCAGGCGAGGCTTGCAGATTAACAGCTTTTGGAGTAATAACCTAACTAGTACTCCATTTGATCCTGTTTTGTGGTATGTAGGATTCTGGTGAGTGATCCACTTAGAAGGTTAAATGTATCCTACTGTAGAATGTAGTTGCAACTGCTTTAAGTAAACCTTTCACACAGGCTACTTTTCAAAATGACTTTTAAGGACAGAAATCTGGGATTTTAGAGTTTTATGAGATAGGCCTATGAGTCTGTTTTTTGCACCTTCCAGTTAAGCAATGTTTTTACATGAGCAGAATTTAGTTTGAAATTTCTTTTCATTGTAACATACTCCTTATGTTAAAAGCTTGCAGAGGAGTAGACTAAAGCCCTCAGCTGTTTACATCTTTGGAGACTACCAGTGTTTACCCTAAATTGTCTGATGATTATAAACTCCAGTTTGGCTTACTTCATTTTGCAGCAAGCACCTAACATACTCCCGGGCACACACTGGACAATCAATACACTAGATAATTCTACCTATTGTCGATCAGTGAACTAACCTTAATTTGGGGGAAGAAAAGGAAAGTTGAGATTATACATTGCTCTAAAGCTATTAGAATCCTCCTTTGTGAGGCTTGCCAGGTTGGTTTTTGGAATGTTAATATGTGGCTATCTTCTCCAGGCTTATTGTTAGTTTCAATTTAGAGCTTATTTTGCAGAGCCACTGAAATCATGTGAAGGTGAGTCAGGGTTCTGCCAAGGAAGCTTGTGATGAGTGTAACCTGTTTGTGGAAGCATGTGAATGTTTGGCTTATCTCCAGGAGCACACTTTGCTAGCCATCATCTGAAACTCAGCATGCTAGGACCTGGAACATTTTTCATCTTTGATGTGTCAGGAAGATTTTACAGAACCTGGACCATAGCCTGAACTGAGACCGTGTGGAAGCATTGTGGGAGATTCCTTCCAGTCAGTATTTATAGAATATGCTGAATTTATTTAGACCTGCATTGATTAAAGAAAATGTGTCATAAAGAAGTGAAGGAAATAAGTTTTTTTCTTATTGTTGAAAATGTATTGCTGCTGTTTTGAAAAAGTGTTGTGGTTCAAACTACTGAAAATGTATATAAGATAATGATTCTAGTTGAAATCTTAAAATAAGCTAATTTTTACTTTATTTGCTTTTCATAGCCTTGGGTTGTTCGTTCAGAAATGTCCTTGCTAACCGTGTTTGTAAACTTGTTACCCCTGAAAGCCTGTCTCTGCTGTGAAGCAGTGGATGAGGTCTTGTTTTGTTTCCTTTGATCGAGAAACCAGAATATCACTTATTGGCTCTGAAACAAGAAGTCTTAAATTTAAACATCTTTTGTTTACTTTTCTCAGTGAAATAAAACAGGAACAATGTGAAGGTAGCTTGAACTACAAAAATACATATATCTTGTTGGTGTTGAACATTAGGACTCAGAATGCTGTTGGCCTTTAGAGTTTTTTGTGTTGCTGGAATACCAGGAGGAGTCATGCTCTGATTATTATCTGATTAATTATCCATTTTTTTGTAGAGCAATTAAGGTTAATAAAAATAATAGAACTATTGTAAGAAAATGGAAAGAATCAAGATCATGTAGATGAAAGGGCTTCCTGGTCAGAGAAAACACAGAAAGCCTGGCAGGCCATGAGCCATTGTGTAATGACAGTGCATTGCTCTAGACATAGGTGGGGATTTTGGCAGCCTAATCTATGTTCTAATACTAAGTCAGTTATGCAGATTTTTGCTTAAAGGGCATTAAACATCCTAGTGGGTGATATATTCAAAACATGTTTATGAAAGAGAGTATGAGGCTGGGCTCATGCCTATAATCCCAGTACTTTGGGAGACCAAGGTGGAAGGATCGTTTGAGGCCAAGAGATCAAGACCAGCCTGTGCAATATGGTGAGACCCCAATCTCTATTAAAAATGTTTTTAAATTTAATTTAAAAAAAGAGAGTATGATATGGGTAGTAGGTATCAGGGGAAATATTATCCCTCATATTACCCTGAGAAAGCTTTTCCTCTCCCCTCATTGAACCAAGCATAATTACATGGACTATTTCATTTTATTTTCCTAATACTCTTATGGGGATAGGCATTATTATAAAAACCATTTTGTAAATAAGGAGACTGCGCCTTAGCATGGTTTTACAACTTGGCAAGTGCTACATAGCTAGGGAATTTAGGGGGCTTTAAATTAGGTTAAAATTGGGACCATACCAATTGGGGATCGTATGAATTGGGAATATCTTTCTCTTTATCTGCAGCATGCTCTTCAGCTTAACGATGTATGTATCTTGGGGTCTTCCATGTCAGTAGAGAGATATACATCTCTTCAATCACTGCATTGAATTACATATTTGTATATATCATGATTTAGCAAGCCATTTTCTCTACTGGTGGACAATTAGGCAATTTCCTGCTTTGGGCTATTACAGATAGTGCTGTAATGAACTTCTTTTGAAATACATCTTTGTACACATTTGCAAGTATTTCTGTAAACACTTAAATGTGACATGATTATGTAAAAGACATTTACATTTAAAATATTGATAACTACTTTCTAGTTATGCTTTCCTCTTCAAAAGTATCCTTTTTTTCTATATCCTCACAAACACTGGATGTTGTAGTCTTTTTTTTGTTTGTTTTTTTGAGTCTTATTATGTCACCCAGGCTTGAGTGCAATGGCATGATTTTAGCTCACTGCAACCTCTGCCTCCCAGGTTCAAGCAATTCTGCCACAGCCTCCCGAGGTGCACGCCACCACGCCCAGTTAATTGTTGTATTTTTAGTAGAGATGGGGTTTCGCCATGTTGGCCAGACTGGTTTCAAGCCCCTGACCTCAAGTGATCGGCCCTCCTAGATCTCACAAAATGCTGGGATTACAGGCATGAGCCACTGTGTCCTGCCTGGATGTGGTAGTCTTTAAAAAAAATCTATTCTTATGGATGAATGCATAGTATCTCCTTGTTTTAATTTGCATTTGCTTAATTTTTAATAAAGCTGAACATCTTTATATCATTAATTGGACATTAGTATTTCTTCTTTGTTCAATTCTCAATTTCCTTTACCTACTTATACATGCAATTGTTTGAGTTGATAAAGCCCTTTATATATTAGGAATATTCATGTTTCATCTTAATATTTGGTCATACTTTCTGCTAATCTGTGACTTTTCTTCTAACTTCATTATGGTATATTTTATTGCCTAGAAGTTTTTGGGCTTTATTTTTAATCAAATTATTTATTTCCTTTAGAACTTCTAGGATCTGTGAATTTCTTTCTAACCTGTTAGCTAAACATTGTCCCAAATTTTCTTTTGGCACTTTTTATATATGTATATATTTTTGTTCTGAATTGTATTTTTCTTTGTGATATAAATAGGAATGTTTTTCAGATAGGTATCTAATTCTTTTCATAATTTATTAAATAGACCACTCTAATTTGAATAGAAAAGGAGTGGAACAGAATAGAATATAAAAATGGATCTATCCCAGAGCTCAAACTATATTGCCTTAATAAGCGAAGTTTTATTATGTGTTTTGATATCCACTAGGGCCTGATTCTACCCTTATTCTTTTTCAAACTGCTTGTTAGTTTTCACGAAAAATGTAGGTAGGATTTTATTTTTTATTGTCTTGAATTCATAAATTAACTTAGGGTAAACTGATATTTACAGTTATTTAGAAATGTGGATGTCTTTATAATATTAAGGATTTTAATCCAGGGAAATAATATGGCATTGCACTTTCTTCAGGGCTTTTTGTACTCATCACTTAGTTTTATAGAGAGAAAAATGCTTGTACATTTATGGTTGGTAATTACTAAGTGTTTTATTGTTTTGATCATTTTGTTGTATTTTCTAAGTTTTTGTATATAGGTATTGAGTTTTAAAAGTTACATCGCTTTACTGAACTCTTATTAGTTCTAATACTTTTTCTGTTAAAGCTCTTGGATTTTCCAAGTAATCAGTTGTTTAATCTGCAAATAACGACTTCTGGCTTTTCTTTTTCAATAATTTGCAGTGTTTTCTGCATGCCTACTTAATTTACAAGCCTATAAGTAAGCTGAAGATGAAGAGTGTATTACATTATTTTCTTTTTCTTTTTCTTTTCTTTTCTTTTTCGTTTCTTTTCTTTTTTTTTTTTTTTTTTTTTTTTTTGAGACAGTCTCGCTCTGTCACCCAGGCTGGAGTGCAGTGGCGCGGGAGCTCACTGCAATCTCCGCCTCCTGGGTTCATGCCATTCTCCTGCTTCAGCCTCCCTAGTAGCTGGGACTACAGGTGCCTGCCACCACACCCGGCTAATTTTTTGTATTTTTAGTGGAGATGGGGTTTCACCGTGTTAGCGAGGACAGTCTGGATCTCCTGACCTCATGATCTGCCCACCTCGGCCTCCCAAAATGCTGAGATTAAAGAATGAAATGGTGGCATAGTCATCTGATTGCTAGATGTCTCAAAAATTATACACAGTATCATTTTCCAATATGCAGTCTTACTGTTTTAGGTTTGTTTTATTTAATTTCAGAATACTCTCAAATGAACTTTATAAACTAGCCCGAATAGGGAAGAACATTCTGATATCAGAGTGTTTGGGATCCTGAAAAAAAAAATGTTGGGAAGGAGTTATTTATTTGAAACAGTTATTTCATACTTACTTTATATATAGACACACGCATACATATTTATTTACTTACTAGTATTAGTGAAATTGAGTGATGTTCCAGAATGAATACTGTTTAAACCATTGTTTTGCAGTCATAAACCGGGACCTATTAGCAGAAGTAGAGAAGTGGTAAATATTAATGAATAATTTCCAGTCATATCTGCCAGTGATTTCCGGGACGCATGAGACCCAGGCCCAGCTAACTGTTATTTTGTGTGTAAAGCTTGCTTCTATAGGCATTTTCCATTGCAGTACACTCAACTATCAATGTTTTCCAAAAAACTATAGATATGTGTATGTGTGTGTATATATATTTTGGTCTAGGGTCTTATATTTGAAATATATATTCCTTCTCTTCTGCAGTCAAATATGTGAATTTCTGTTTATTCTTCAAGACTCAGGTCAAATATCTTTGCCTTCACAACTTCTTTACCTTCTCAGGAAAATAAAAACAAAATAGTTGGTATATGCTGCTTTTATATCAGTTACCACATTATTTTGTAGGTGCTTATTTTGATTTCTGTGTCCTTCCTAAACTGTAAGCTACTAGAAACTATTCCTTCTCCAGTGCCTAGCACAATGTCAAACATGAGTTTAGAACTGTAAAATATTGTTGAATGAATAAATGTGAATAAGTGATTACTAAAAATATAAGAGGAAGTGAAGGATCAAAAGAGCTGTCTAAGAGAAAGTTGTAAGTATGACAATGTAAGAAGAATATTAGGCCAGGCATAGTAGCTTAAGCTGGTAATCCCAGCACTTTGGGAGGCCAAGATGGGAGGATTGCTTGAGCCTGGGAATTCAAGACCAGCATGGGCAATATAGTGAGACCTCGCCTCTAAAAAAAAATTTTTTTTAATTAGCTGAGTGTGATGGCATGTGCCTGTAATCCTAGCTACTCAGGAGGCTACAGTGGGAGAATTACTTGAGCTCAGAAAGCAGAAGCTACAGTGAGCCTACTACTGCACTCCAGCTTGGAGTGCAGAGCAAGACCCTATCTCAATGAAAAAAAAAAGAAGAAGAAAAGAAAAAGAAAAATATTAGCATGGGAAACATGCTAATATTTATGAATATTATGAAAAGATAAATAAAAGCACTAACCCTATACTATGGAAATGTGCATTTTGATGCAGTAAGGTTTACTATGGTGAAGAAACATGGTAGAGACCAAATAGGGATCCAAGTGGCATGAGGCTATGAAAACATGTTGAAAGTCAAGAAGAAAACAGTACCCACTCAGGTACAAATCCTACAAATGATACTATTTAAGAAGCATGTACCATTAGGAGCTACATTATATCTGCTTCTATATATGCGTATGTATTTTTGGTTTATAGGTTACCATATATAGAATATAGGAATTACTTGTTTTCCAATAATACAAATGTAAAGTGTCCATAGAACAGCAGGGCCAGCTTTGTAGGAAATAGACATGATTTCTTTAGTCTTTGGCCTTCTTTTCTGCCTTCTGTTTCTACTGCATCTTTTTATAAATATTATTTTAAAATCTAATCCTAGATTTTATGATTTTTGGGGGAGCACAGTTTCTTTAGGCACAGTTTAGATGCATAATAATTATTGAATTTTATTGAAAATGCCAGTGTCTGTTATGTATATTAATTGGACTTGATGAATTATACATTTATTTCTTTCATATATTTTTTCCTGTATTAAGAGAGGGATTGGACAACTACTTCAGTTCCTTTTAAGATAAACATTTCAGCAGAAATAAGGACAATCAAGTTTCTTATGGCTATATCTGAAGGCCACATTTAGTTGTCTTTTAAATGATGTAGGTAAGAAATAAACAGCTTCAATATCCTGTTTGCTGTACAGCCCTTTAGCGATATTTTCATAATAATTTCATAAAAGTTTCAATGAGAATTCAATTTAAATGTATATGCAAGTAAAATGAGGGATGACAAACAAGAGCCCAGGACAGTGTTAGAATGGAGGTCAGGTTCAGTGATCTTATGATTGAGACAGCATTATAATACTGACACCCTGCTACTTCAGGGCTAGTATAGGTCATACCATGAAACAGGTTCAGTGTAGGTATTTGCTTAGGTAGCTTCAAGATGGTTTACCTTAGTTTTATTGGGAAACAGCAGAGCGTTCCAGCTAATATGATTCATTCTGATTCTATAAAAGGCGATAAATATTGCTATTCACATAATGTGTTCTGAGGCTACTTTGTCTCTTAAATGATTAAAAGTGGTACTATCGCTTACACATTTTAAAAATTAGTAAGTTACTTTTATACTGACTCAATTTTCCTTTTCTTAACATCTCAATTGATTTTAAAGACAAAACAGTTGTTTAGAAGAAATTCATCACATGAATGTTTAAACTTACATAGTTTTGGATACCTGGCAGGTTTTTTTTTTTTTCTGTATTATCATCTTGTTGGCCTCTTACTACAGGTTTTCAACACATACTCCAATGAAGACTATGACAGGAGAAATGACGAAGTTGACCCTGTGGCTGCTTCAGCTGAGTATGAACTTGAAAAACGTGTAGAAAAGCTGGAACTTTTCCCAGTGGAGCTAGAGAAAGGTTCGTGAGTGCTACAGTGTTAATATCATTATGTTGCTATGTTAATAATACAGAATTATTTTTCCAAAATGTAGCCTTTTTTCTAAGGATTGGATAAAATTTTAATTCTAACAGAGGATCTTATTTATTAAGTTTCAAAAATAGTTGATATGGATTCTGAGTAGATGGTGGATTGAAAGTTTTACTCCCAACTGAAACCCATCTATCTTAGCTGGCTGCGATGGTGGTTAGGATCAGGGAGGTATAAGTGAGGCCTAATGCTTTGTTGGTATTCCTGGAAAGGGCTGCTACAGCTGAGAGCCCAGAAAGAGCTGGTATATGAGAGCTTGGGGCAGATGGTCGCTTTCTTTTGTTTTGGTGGATAATTGGAAAATTATGGAGATTTTTAATAAAGGCGGTAGAATCCAAGGAAATTTAAATAGTAGGGCTACATCCTCTCCCCCTCTGAGGGGAGAAGGTTGAAAGAGAGCAGGGAGAAGAGGGAGCAGAAAGGCTTCCTTCTGATTTCTCTCCCAGGAATGACACCCTGCCTACTGTAGTAACTGCTGACCCGTGGGATCAGAGATTACCAGGTAAGATGTAAGATGGGCACCCAAGAACTGAACTGTCACTCAGTGAACAGAGAAATAACACCTCTGAGAGAGCTTTGAAAAAAAAAAGAGTAGAACAAACAGATGATGACTTGAATAACAAGAAAAAAAGAAACAAAAACCTACCCAAGGATACTCAAGCATGGCTTAAAAAAAGACATTTGCAAATTATGCCTCTAACAAAGGACTAATATTCAGAATCTATGTGGAACTCAAATACTCAACAACAACAACAACAAAAAGAAAGAAACCCATTAATAAGTGGGCAAAGGACACGAACAGGTATTTCTTAAAAGAAGACTTACAAGCAGTCAACAAACATGAAAAAACACTCCACATCACTAATCATCAGAGAAATGGAAATCAAAACCACAATGAGACACCATCTCACACCAGTCAGAACAGCTATTATTAATAAGTCAAAAACAGCAGATGTTAGCAAGGATGCAGAGAAAAGAAAATGGTTAGATACTGTTGGGGGAAATGTAAATCAGTACAATCTCTGGAAAACAGTGTGGAGATTTCTCAAATAATTGAACATAGAACTATCATTTGACCAAGCACTCCCACTACTGAATATCTCCCCAAAGGAAAAGAAATGGTATCAAAAAGAGACTTGTGCTTGTATGTTTAACAGAATACTATCCAATGGAAATAGTCTTGGAAATAGCAAAGTCATGGAATCAACCTAAGTATTCATCAATAGATGACTGGATAAAGAAAATGGGGCATGTATACACTATGGACTACTGTGCAGCTATAAGAAAGAATGAAATCATGTCTTTTGCAGCAACATGGTTGGAGCTGGAGGCCATTATCCCTACATGAAATAACTCAGAAACACAGAGTTATTTGCTGCATGTTCTCACTTATAAGTGAGAGCTAAACAGTGGGTACACATCAACATACAGAGCAGAGTAATAGACACTGGGGACTCCAAAAGTTTACGAGGGTGGGAGGGGGATGGGGCTTGACAAATAACCACTTGCGCACAATGCGAACTATTCAGGTAAAGGTTACACTAAAAGCCCAGACTCACCACTATGTAATATATCCATATAGCACACCTGCACATGTACTCCCCTGAATTTATACAGATTTAAAAAAAGACGTTCTTGAGCAACTTAGCAACAAGAACAAATTTCTTGATTTTGAAATGAAAAATTTCACCGGAAGAATTGAAAAGGATAGTTATTGTTGAGACTTAAGTTGGCGATCTAGAAGATGACGTTTGAGAGATATTCCAAAAAGAATTCTCAAATGACAGAGCAAAAATCCAAGAAAAATCATGAAAGAGTCCCAATATATAAGTTGTAGGCAACAGAAGAGAAAAACGACAATGGAGAAGGACAGACTAATAATAATCATAGAAGAAAAATTTCTTGTCCTTAAAAAGAAGATCTGAGGCTTATATTAGGAAGAACTTATCCATTTATGAGTGAGAGGGCTAAATAACCCCAAACTGATCCCACACTTAGGCATAGCCTGGGAAAAAATCCTAATATTCAAAGATAAAGTGAAAGAGCTTAAAAAATTCCAGGCCAAAAAATACCCAACCAAACAAACAAGCAAATATACTTGCAAAGGCAAAATAATTAGACTAGCATCAGACTGTAACACTAGAAGCAGGGAGATGTAGAAATAATTTTACATGCCACTGAGGGTAAAAAGGATGGTGATCCAAGAATCCCATATCCATCCCAGAAAGCATTTACCTATCCTGGTGAAAGAAAGACATCTGCTGCTATCTAAGGATTTAAAGAACACATTGCCTACATACTTTATCTGAGTAATTCACTGTCCAATTTAGCAGGGAGGGAGTGAAACAAAGAGCAGCTTGTTCAAAACAGCAAGGGCAAGGAAAAAAGAGGTGAAAACTATGAAGTATTAAACATACAATTGCTTAAATGAAAAAGTATGAAGAATACTAGTCATATTACACCAAACATGACTGATGGATTACTCCTGTTAAAAGACACTTTCATTTGGAGTTAAAGTGAATTAAAGAGTAATGCTTACATTTTTCATACATTTTAAAACATAAAAGCCATTCTTAGTTCATTGGCCATACAAACACAGCTGGGCCATCATATTACTTATTTTGGTAGTAGCAAAAAAACAAGACCAATCCAAATATTCATCAATGGTAGAAAGGGTCTATAAATTGTAGCATATCTAGGCAATAAAATATTACTCAGCAGCGAAAATGGAGGTGCCACACTTCATGCAGCAGTATGTATGATTCTTAACATGATATCGAGGGAAAGTAAAAATAGCAAACCACAGAAGAAACCATTTAGTGTAATATAATTGCATTTACTTACATTTCAAACCAAAAAAATTAAATAGCATATTGTTTTGGGATACACAAATGAGTAGTTTTTAAAAAGTAGTATTAAAAAGTAGGGAATGATTAACACAATGTTTAGTATAATGGTCACTGAGGAAAGAGTTGCTGTGTCAGGGAGGGATATATAGTGGCTTTTGTGATGTCGGTAATATTCTGTGTCTTTGTACATGGATGTTTGTTTTATTTTTATGCTTTAAACATAATGTTTTGTAGATAAATATTAAACTCATTTGTATGTTGCCATATTTCATACTAAAAATTAAACTAGAAGGTAACCAAATCAAATACAATTATTGGAGATTTCAATATATTTCTTTCAGAACTGGACAGATTTATGGACAGAAAACAAAAATCAAGGAGTGGGTTAATATAATGAACTCTATTTCAAGCTGTATTTTAAAAGAAAAAGTTTTATCCTTTGGAAAAATGTTAAAGGTTCCTTTAATATGAGAATTTGGAAATTACATAATACATTCCTAGGTAGATGTTTGATTGAAGAGAAAATTATAACTCATATCCCAAACCATCGTGGAAAGGATTAAACTTAAAAAGTCCGTCTCAAAAAAAAAAAAAAAAAGTCTGTAGCACACAGCAAAACCTTTACTCAGAGGAAAAGCTATATCCTTGATTTCTTTCTTTAAAATAAAAAACTTGAAAAGCAAAAAATGGACCTGTCTTAGAAATCAGGAAAAGTAAACCAAATAAATCAAACAAACTAGCAAGGAAGAGTAGTATATGTAAAAACACTATTAATAACATAGAAAAGAAAATCTAGTAAAATAAGGTAATACAAATCCTTTTCATTGAATACATCTATAAAATATATCAATCATAATACTGAGTGGAGAAAATTGAAAGTAAACTTATGCAAATTAGGAATGGAAGAAAAATATATAGTGTTACTATAAAAGATCAGTCAGTCACTGCATTTCTTTGTCAAATGAGGTGAATGCCCAGAAATAATTTATGTCCTAACAAAATTTGAATTACCAGAATCAACTTTAGTAAAATAGACTAATTGCTATAGAAGAAACTAGAATGATAACTACAGATAAAACATTAAAATGTCATCACAACCAGATGATTCTATTGTACCTTTAAAGAATGCATAAAGCCAGTGTTAAACTATTTTAGATCATAGATAATAAAGGAAAACTCTTCATTTCATTGAAATACCATATAAGTTTATACCCAAAACTAATATGCTACAAAAAAGATTGCTATAATACAACTACAATTGTGAATATATATTTTAAAATGCTAAATGAAATAAAATATCAAATATAGAAATAGTTGAAGAGAAAAGGCCAGGTGCGGTGGCTCATGTCTATAATCCCAGCACTTTGGGAGGCTGAGATGGGCGGATCACGAAATCAGGAGGCTGAGACCATCCTGGCTAACACATGAAACCTCATCTCTACTAAAAATAAAAAAAATTAGCCCGGCGTGGTGGCACGTGCCTGTAGTCCCAGCTACTCAGGAGGCTGAGGCAGAAGAATTGCTTGAACCTGGGAGGTGGAGGTTGCAGTGAGCCGAGACCACACCACTGCACTCCAGCCTGGGTGACAGAACAAGACTCTGTCTCAAAAAAAAAAAAAAAAAGAAAGAAAGACTCATTAGGATCAAATGGAGTTTTAGATACAAGGATATAGAGTGGTTCATTATTCAAAGATTCATCCACATACAATTTAAAGGAAAAGCCCTTAAATTTTTTAAATTTCATGTCAAATTGGTATGAAAAGATGTCAATTTGGTAACATTTACCACTTTAAAGAAAGACTGTAAATTAACACATGATGGAAGCTGCCTAAATTTATGCAAACTATAAATTTACAATACCTACAGAGAATTCTAATTCTAAATTGAGTAAACACTAAAGATATTTTAATTAAAACCAGAAATCAAATTTGTAATGCCCTTTAAATGAAATGACCAGTATAAATAACAGCAAATAAAAGATGAAAAGCATCATCTTTTGCTGATATATTCATATCCATATCTATCTAGAAAACCAAATTGATTCAATATTAGATTTGGTAAAATAATTTGTGGAGGAAGAGGTTACATTCAAGATATGTATAAAAATCAATTTTTTCTATGTAATCACATTAAGAATTTAGAAATGAAAATGGGAAAAATATTTTATTTACAGTAGCACCAAAACAACAAAATATTTATTACTAAGAAAAACATGAAATTTATCTAGATAAAATAATAACATCTTTTTGAAAGTCATTTCTATTTGAAAGCAAATTGAAAGACAAACCATATTCTTGGACAAGAAGGCTCCAAATAGAACTGCCAACAAAGTTGGGTTGGGAGAGGAGAATTGCAAAAAACAGTATTAAATTTTTTTGGTAAAATTTAAGTCTGGAGAAATACAGACTTAAGTATGAAAAGGAATATGAATGACTTAATTTTCCAAATATCTAAATATAATGTAAAGCTTTTGTAATCAGAACAAATTGTATTCAAATGGCAATTGATCAGTGGAACAAAATAGAAAATCCAGAAAAAGATGTTAGTATGTGTGAGAATTTAATATATGACACACATGATATTTCAGCTTAGAAGTAATTATGTGCTTTATAAATTGTTCTGGCATAACTGAGAATCTATCTAGAAGAATCTAAAGTTGGATACCTTCATTACAGCATAGGTAAAAATAAATAACTCTACATGGGTTAAATAATAACATATTAAAGATGTTGTAAAGAAAATTTAAATGACTGCATATATCATCTAGGCTTGTGGCAGGAGAGTCTTAACCAAAATGGGAAACCAGAAGTTAGAAAATAAGCTTTGGGCTCCATAGTATGACAATAGTGTCTTCCATAATAACATAGTCCCTCTGTCTTTGCCGTCATTTTATGGCTGTTTTGCCTTGGTGCTTTGCCTGTCCCTAGGAATGTATGGAGAGGAAGACAGGGTGCAGCTGGGTTCTCGATGGGTCAGCCACAGGAATAATAAGTGGCCTTTAAGGATGAGGTTCCAGACTTCACTCAGAGAAAGCTGTATGTAAATAAGATGCTGGAGAACATCAGTCTTCTGGTCTCTGTGCGTTGATTGTGCTCTTTCTTGTATTGCCCTTCAGTCATCATGTTGTCCTTGTAAGTAATTTGCATTAGAATTGAGGATGGCTTGAGTTAATATTGCTTTTTCTGCAACTGGATTTTCAGCTCTGCAAATCTGAGTAATTTTCCAGTTAAAAGCAATGAGAGGAGCAATGGAAGGAAGAAAGAGAATTCTACCAAGACCTGAGTCTAGGCAGAGAAAATGGATTTAGAAACCAAGAAGTAATTTTCACTCAAGATAGTTGCAGGAAGAAATTATTTAATGGTGTGACAGTATGGAGATTTCACATTTGAGAGGAGCCTTTTGTACGGTAATGAGTATGGGAAAGTTTGACTCACAGCTCTACATTGGCTTGACATGTGATAAGTTATACTGAAGAGAAACCCTGTGAGTATAATGAAAGTGAGCAAGAATTCAGCCAGAATACTAATACATATATACACCAGAGATTTCATACAGGAGAGAAATTCTATGGTATTTTTCTGCATGGAAGAGGCTACATTGATCATCTCTTAAACAACACAAGAGCAATACACTAAGGGGAAAAACTTACATGGATGTAAACACTATGGGAAGGCTTTCAGCAATCATTCATCCTTCATCAGTGTGAAAAAAAATTCATTTTCTTGAGAAACCCTATGAATGTGACGAATGTCAATAAGAATTCAGCTATCCGCTAACCTTATACACACAAGAGAATTCATGGTGGGAGAGAGAAAAACCCTATGCATGTAACCAGTGTGGGAGAGCCTTCAGCACACATCTAACCTTCATGTACACAACAAATCTCTGTGTACGAAGATTTTAAAGTTTCTGTGGCGAAACTTTAAAACTATAATGAATGTAGAAAATCTTTAACAAGATAAATCCTCTTGATGAAATCAGTCTTTATACCAGAGAAACAATTTGAATAAATAGGAGAAATCACATGTATATAAACTTAATAAATGTAATGAATGAGGAAAGTCTTCAGAGATTATTTATGTTAGTCAGCATTAAAGTTTTCACACTAAAGAGACACCTATGCTTAGAATCAATGTGGAAGTGCCTTCAGCTGGGGTTTGCATCAGGCAGCTCATCCAGGGGAAACACTGTAAAGATTCCTCTAGCATACCACTGAGCAAACAAATCACACTTTTGCCAAGTGACATCTTTTAAAACATATGTAGAATAAAGATATAAGATTGTCAGGTGTACTTGGAAATACTTCAGGCATAAGTTGGTTATAAGTAGTAATGTATGAGATAAACCTTCATCCGAAGAATACTAATTACAAGAATCCTGGCCAGGCCTGGTGACTCATATCCATAATACCAGCACTTTGGGAGGCTGAGGCAGGAGATTGCTTGAGCCCAGGAGGTTGAGACCAGCCTGGGCAACATGGTGAAACCCTGTCTGTACAAAAAAAAAAAAAAAAACACAAAAAATTACCCAGATGTGGTGGCACATGGCTATAGTTCCAGCACCTCGGAGGCTGAGGTGGGAGGATCACCAGAACCCAGGAGGTTGAGGCTGCAGTGAGCCATGATGGCGCCACTGCACTCCAGCCTGATCAACAGAGTGAGACCTTGTCTCAAACAAAAAAAAAAAAAGAAGAAGAAGAAAGAAAAACAGAAAAAATGCTTAAGAAAGTGAAGGTTATTGCTGAAAAGTCTTTTAAAAGTGTCATTCTGTTGAGTATATGGACCAATATTTCTTTAATAATCCATCACTGTTGATTAGTTAGTATTTTTATGCTGCTAGTAAAGCATGATTACAAAGACTTTGAGGCTATCAGAAAATAACCTTGAACTTTAACTAAAACATGTGGCACGCAAAATAGTGTATCTTTTATATATTCACAGAAAGGACAAATGGAAATATGGATAAACGTGATTTGTAAGTGAATTAAAAAAAAAAGTCACACAGTATTGTTCATAGGACCAGTAAAATGGAAATAAAAATGTGAATACAGAATGGTTGGATACATTATGATACCATCTCACCATGAAATATTATTCAGTCATTAGAAATAATTTAGAGATATGGACATTGAGGACATTGATATCCATGACTTATCTTTTTTTTAGACAGGGTCTCGCAGTGTTGCCCATGGTGGAGCACTGTGGCATGATCTCAGCTCACTGCAACATCTGCCTCCCAGACTCAGGTGATCCTCCCACGTCAGCCCCCAAACAGCTGGGACTACAGGTGTGCCCCACCATGCCCAGCTAATTTTTCTATTTGTAGTAGAGACAGGGTTTCACCCTGTTGCCCAGGCTTGTCTTGAACTCCTGGGCTCAAGGGATTCTCCCACCTCAGCCTCCCAAAGTGATGGGATTACAGACGTGAGCCACTGTGCCCAGGCGCTTCATTGGTTTTTAAAAAGTAAGCAGTAAAGAGAAGTAGGTATAATCTCATTTGTGTAAGCAAATAAGAAGGAAAAACAAGCTATATATACATATATATACATTCATATATGTCTAAGTATATGTATATATTATAGTTGTTGATGAGTATATATTCTTGGGTATAGAAGCACAGAGGAAAGTACTCAAATATACTATCTTTTTTTTTTTTTTTTTTTTTGAGATGGAGTCTCGCTTTGTCACCCAGGGTGGAGTGCAATGGCACAATCTTGGCTCACTGCAACCTCCGCCTCCTGGGTTCAAACGATTCTCCTGCCTCAACCTCCCAAGTAGCTGGGACTACAAGTGCCTGCCCCCACACCCGGCTAACTTTTTGTATTTTTAGTAGAGACAGGCTTTCACCATGTTGCCAGGCTGGTCTTGAACTCCTGGCCTCAAGCCATCCACCTGCCTCAGCCTCCCAAAGTTCTGGGATTGCTAGCATGAGCCACCATGCCCAGCCACATGTACTATCTTATTAACATGAATAAACAAGTAAAGAAGAAAAGACCATATAAATGAAGGAGGAATTCCAGATATGTTATGATCAGATTTATTTAAAATTATATGTTTGAATATGTGTACTCTTACGCCTAAAATAATTCATTGCATTATTTAGAGAATCTAGGTTTTAAGGCAGAGTGACTATTCAATAATCAAGTTGTTACCTTTTCTTGAGACCACAGTGAATTACCAACAGTAGTAGTAAAATGATGCTAAATGCATGAGCCTTTTGGAGGATCTCATTAGATACCCTTACTGCGTAGCTTAGAAAAGAATTCTGCTAAAGCAAGCATGTTATTGTCCTATCCATAAGGAAAAATAAAATTAGAAACAGCAAGTAGGTCTCACCAGCTAATTGCAGACTAGTGTAAAACTTAAGTTGTTTCACCTCCCCCCTTTTTTTCTTTTTAATAGATGAGGATGGTCTTGGTATAAGTATTATTGGAATGGGTGTTGGAGCAGATGCTGGACTTGAAAAGCTGGGAATATTCGTCAAGACAGTAACAGAAGGTGGTGCTGCTCAACGGGATGGCAGGTAAATTAAGGACTGTTGTTAATAACTTAAAATCTTTAGAGAACTTTCCTGGAAGTTTCCTTCAGTTGTAGCTTTTTGCTTTTGTTTGTTGATTTTTTAGGATAGAATTTCAGGTTTCTCAGATGTGAAAATCTTTAAACACTTGAATTATTTTCTGATATGCAGGCAAAATATCTGCTTTCTTTAATATATATTAGGTAAATGAGTGGGCAGATCTATCAGTCTATACCTGTCTTTATCCATTCATCTATCTGGTGGGAAGTGGGCAGAAACATGGGTGTATATAGTTGTAAATGTGTGCTATGGAGGTCAGCACATAGTTTCACTTCAGAAATATTGAAAGAAATGATAATAGTTCTGGCATCTTAAAAAATGACACATGTAGATGGTAAGTTAGGAACTCTAATTCTGTATTGATGGTAATTCTGAAGGTCAGTGTTTCTCCAAATATATTTATGTAAAAACACAGGTTCTTGGGTGCACCTAAACCTGTAGAATTAAAATCTCCAGTAGAGGGGTCTGGCAGTCTGCACCTTGGATAATTCTAGTACACAGCAGAGCATCCAGATTATCACTGTTTTGTCTTAGCTTTCATAATCTCAAGCTATTTGTCTGTCTGTCTGTCTGTCTATCTATCTATCTATCTATCTATCTATCTATCTATCTATCTATCTATCTTAGGCGAAGATTTTGATTAACCCTCATACTTGGCTCTGATATATCAGGTTGAGGCTAGAAGCAGAAGGTGGTGTCTTAGTTTGTTTTGTGCTGCTATGGCAGAATACCTGAGACTGGGTAATTTATAATGAACATAAATTTATATGGCTCATGGTTCTGGAGGCTGGGAAGTCCAAGATTAAGGGGCCACATCTGATGAGGACCCTCCAGCTGAGTCATCCCGTGGCAAAAGGTGCAAAGGCCAAGTGAGAGAGAGCAAGAAGGGGCAAAACTTGCTTTTATAACAAACCCACTCTCAAAGAAATAAATCCACTTCCATGATAATGACATTGATCTATTTGTGAGGCCAGTGCCCTATGACCTAATCACCTTTTAAAGGTCTAACCTCTCAACACTGTTGCGTTAAGGATCGTTTTCAACATATAACATTCAAACCATAGCAGTTGGCAATATAATAAAAGTAGACCCAAATATACGACTGCTAAATTCAAAGAATTATTATGTTGTTTTATGTACATTTAATGAATAGCTTTAAATTTTTTTATGTTTAAGTATGTATCATTTGACCATCTTATCAAGAAATAATAAAGCATGTTGGAAAGAATTTGTGAATCTGTGAGGAGACCCAGAGCACCATTTTTTTTTTTTTTTTTTGAGATGGCATCTCATTGTGTTGCCTAAGCTGGAGTACAGTGGCATGATCTCTGCTCACTGCAGCCTCTGCTTCCCAGGTTCAAGTGATTCTCCTGCCTCAGCCTTCTGAGTAGCTGGGACCACAGGTGTGGACCACCACGCCCAGCTAATTTTTGTATTTTTAGTAGAGACGGGGTTTCACCATGTTGGTCAGAATGGCCTCGAACTCCTGACCTCAAGTGACCCACCTGCCTTGGCCTCCCAAAGTGCTAGGATTACGGGTGTGAGCCACCTTGCCTGGCCCATTGTTTCTGTTTTAATCCTAAAAATGCATACTGATACCCACAGATAGTTCTCAAAGAGAGCTAAATTGATTTATGTAAATACAAAACCACACCTTATATCTTCTTTTCCATGAGGTTAGGGATAACATCTTAGTTGGTAGCCTTGTTTGTATTCATATAGCACTTAGCATAATGCTTTGCATAGAGAAGGTTTGAAATAAATCTTTTGAGTGAACATTCAGCTGTCTACATTTAAAACAAAGAATGTGGAATATGACTATCTTGTGTCCCAAATTAACTTATTAACAGTCTTCCTCCTTTTCAGAGTAGTTAAGGAAATAACCTCTTTGCCCCTTTAATAAATTATATATAATGATAGTAGTATTTCCAGTTATTAATTTACCACCTTTCTTCCAAGAGAGCTAAAACTTGTTTGTAAAATATACCTCATTTCTTATTAAGTTTGATGAAAATTTTAAGATCATGGGAAATAATGCTACAGTTAGTATTCAAACATGCTTAATTGTTATGAACCATCCAGAAAGCCAAACCAAAGTACAACTTGATTAAAAGAAGAAAAAGTCAGAATATTTTGCATTAATAGCCATGTAACAGATGTCCTGAAAAAAAAAAGAAAGAAAAATAAAATTTTGCATTTAGTAGTTAACCAGTTCCTGTTGTTCTAAACATAGACATATTTATTTTTCCTTCAATCATTTTAAAATTAGGTTTGCTTTCTATTAACCTATTTACTAATTATTTATTCTTCTACATAGTTTCATTATTTATAACTACATTAGAACTCTGCTTTACCAGTCCCAGTGTACATTTATTTCCTCAGTCCTTTTAAATGAGTATTTTCCTAGTATACTAATCCTGTTGTTGTTATAATAGGTGCTTAATAAATGCCTCAGTGAATATATTAAGACATGTAACTTGGGCCAGGCGAGGTGGCTTATGCCTGTAATCCCAGCACTTTGGGAGGCTGAGGCAGGTGGATCACCTGAGGTCCGGAGTTCGAGACCAGCCTGGCCAACATGGTGAAACCCCATCTCTACTAAAAATACAAAAATTAGCTGGGCGTGGTAGTGGGCGCCTCTAATCCCAGCTACCTGGGAGACTGAGGCGGGAGAATCGCTTGAACCTGGGAGGTAGAGGTGGCAGTGAGCCAAGATTGTGCCATTGAGCTCCAGCCTGGGGGACAGAATGAGACTCAGTCTCAAAAACAAAAAACAAAAAAAAACTTCATGTGATGTAATGGATAGAATCTTTAAGAAAATGTAACTAGGAGCCTTCATTCCATTCCCTCTACTTATCATCTGGGGATATTCAACAAATTACTTAATTTTCATGTTATCTACATCGCAGGTTGTGGTAAGCATTAACTAAGTTTGTGTGAATAACCTTCCATAGTGCTATTCATATATATGAAACTGTTCTTGAACCAAGTAAGAGTAAGCTTGAAACTTAATAAAAAAAATAGTTATTATGGGAGAAGCCTCATGGAAAACTATTAAAGGTGTACAACATAAGTACAGAATCAAAATTTTAGAGGTCAGAGAAACTTTAGAGTTTTTATAATCAATACATTTTCTTGTCTATTAATAAGAAAATTGAGGGTGGTTGTATATGTGCATATGTGTGTGGGTGTCAGAAAATGACAAAATAAAATTATTATTACACTTACAACAGATTTATATCTTTTAAATTATTATTTCCACCACTACTGGTGTGTTCATTTGCACAGTGTTTACTGTTTACTGATGTTTACTATTTAAAAGGTATCAACATACAAAAGTGCAGTTCCTCTAGTCAATAATACATTTTAAGTTATGTACACTTACTGATATAGAAAAATATTCCATTAAGGATTTACAAAATAGTGTGATTAATATGATGCCCTTCTTGTGTAGGGTATATATTCTATTTCTTCTTTTCTCTCTCTTTGTTCCTTTTTGTCCTTATCTCTCAGTCATTCTCTTTCTTAAAAAACCTAAAATTAATATATACAAAAGTGTTGAATGGCTCTAGTGTATGGGTTTTTTAAAATTTTGGCTGATATAGAATATCTAATTTTGTAGAGAATATATACCACTTGTGTATAGTTTCTGAATTAAAACTAAAAATGATAAGATTTTCACCCCGAGGAAATTACTTGTCAGACCTCCTTTATTGACAGAATTAAAGTTCTGGGTTAGATGTTCTCTAAGGTAGTTCCTTTTAGCCTTGAAAGGATAAGATTCTGTATTATTGTTTTCTAGCTTTCTAGCTTGCTTTAGATTCTTAATAACTCTTTCTATTTAAGAAAATTTATTTCAATTTAAACTCAGATTTAGTCATACCTCCTTCAAGGAATGTTAAATGAGCAGACATGTATACATAGAAAGTTTTTTTTCTCCCCCTCCTCCCTCCTTCCTGCCCCCACAAGAAGCCTTTTCATTGTGATCGTTTGTATTCCTGTTTAAATGGCTTGTAAACTCTCACCACATTTTGAGTAGTTTAAAAAATTTGCCGTGGGTATTTATCCTCCTGAGTTTATCCAGTATAGTTAAATAGTTAAAAAGTTTTGACCCTTCCTTATTCTTTGATATTATCTCTTACATTCAAAATTTTCTTTTGTCAAGCTTTTCATGTGTGTACTTTATCCTATGATGCCTTAAACTTACAGGGTGCTCAATAAATATTTGTTGAATGAGTGAATCCTTGTGCTTTAGTCACTTTTTATTTTTTATTTTTAGAGGCGAGGTCTCACTGTGTTGCCCAGGCTGACCTCAAACTCTTGGGCTCAAGTGAACTCCCCACCTCAGCCTCCCAAGTAACTGGGAGTATAAGCGAGTGCCACAGTGCGGGGCTTTTAGTCACTTTTGAAACCTTTACTTGGGCTTATCATTTTTCTCTGTTTTGGTTTTGTGCTACCTTCCTTTTACAGAGTAGCTTTTAATTTAGTTGAATGATATGATAGCCATTTCTATTTCCTGTTTCTAAATTTTTAGTAAAATAATATTAAATACATTGACTATTAGTTTTTGTTGTCATAAATGTAATTTTTGGGATTGCACAGAGGACACTTTCACACACTAATGATTTTCCAGTCCTCATTCATGATTCCATAAAGCAAAATTAGTTTCATAAAAACAATTCAAAATGCTGAATTGTAGAGTAAATCACATGGATGGTAACTGACAAAGGATGTTAATAATGCTGTGCTAAATTAGAGGCAAATTAAAAGTCCATTTTGGACACACGTTGTTTTTGGGTCCTGTTTTTGTTTCACAAGCTTTTGCTCATCATCATTTTCAATCACTGTCCTTTTCAATTTTATTGGAAGAGATACCACATATGAAATTAAGGTTCTATGTAGTTTATCCTCATTCAAGTTTGGTTTTTAAATGATTTTAATTGTTTTTTTTCACATCTTTTGGGTAATACCAACATATACAATAGATTAAAGAGTCCTATTCTTTTGCTTATCCTGCAGCAAATTCACCCCCTCTTAGGACCCATCTTTGCCTGAAGTACCCTTCAGCCTAAGAGAACCCTGGATGGAAACTTGTTTTAATTGAATCTGTCATGGTCCCCTATTCGATGGTTTCCTCTCTGTGCACACACTCTCATGTTAGTCTTCTAATAAAATATTTTGCCTATTCACCCCTTAGATTTGGGCTATTACTGCTTTGATATGTATTTTCACAATTTTCACATACATTTAAAACTTCAGTATCTAGCATTTTGAGGAAGATCTCTGTTGACCTAAGTACATTAATGTTGCTCCAGCTGGTCTCCCTGTCATTCTTCTTTGGTGGCTTTGTTGACAAAAGCCCCGTGAGGTAGGGTTATTTTTTTTCCCTTCCCAGAAACACTGTGTCAATAAGTAACTATCCAGTAACATTAAACAAACCCTAGAAAAATCCAATTTATGTATTTTCATTACCCTTATCCCTATTGATTCTGGTTTTCAGATTAAGAATTGCAGGATCTCAGCAATATCACAGTGAGACTGAAGAGCAGTAGTGTTGTGCACTTTTGTTTATGGTAAGCACATGGAAACTATTGAGGAACTGGCCAGGATGAGATAGTTTTTACAAACTAGCCAGGTATGTTCCCATAAATTCCATTCCAGTCGACAGTATTTCCAGGGGAAACAGGCTATTTCCTCTGCTATCCTGGAAAACTTTGGAAAGTTTAGATAATCCATAGAACTGGTTATTCTTTGTAGTCTGGGATGGTCTGATACAGAACTCTGTCTAGGTATTCTTTTGTTTTTAACCACTGAGAGTCTTCCCTTGTCTTTTCTGTGCTTTTCATTACAGCTAAGATTTAAGAGAGATTATCAGTGTTACTGTTCTGTGAGGTTGCATCTAAAAGTTGTCTTCTCATGAGATAAAAGATACAAGCAAAGTGGGTGTTAGACACCAGAAAATTTTTCCCGTCACAGTAACCATTTTTGTATTTAATACTCTGCTGGCTCATGTTCTAGGGAGTTGTAGGAGCAATCTATAGTGGGAATAAACCTGAACCACTGCCTTTTTCATCCATTATTCCCCTCATCTCTCACCCAACCCTCTTTACCTCTCTTTCCTCTTCTCCTCATTTTTAGTTTCTTGAACTTATCTCCACCTTAATCATCACAGTTTACCTCCATAAAAAGGTAAATTGAAAAGCCCGTTATATAGCAAACTCCATAGAACTCCACTTCTCTTCCTCCCTCCCTCTCTCACTCTTTTTAAAAACGTTAAAGATGGTTTTTATTTCCTCATTTTTTTAATTATCAGATTTTCAAATTTTTTCTTTAATGAATGTATCACTTTGAAATGAGAAAAAAATTTAAATGGACACCCTTTTGATGAAAATGATAATCAAATAGCATGAAGCTTTCTTTGTCCCCCTTAATGTTTTCAGTATTAAGGTAGACAGGAAGAACTATGTAGAATCAGTATTTTAGTCATAGGATTCCTCTTTTTCACATTGATCTCTGATCTCTGAATGCAAAGAGCAAATCCAGCCGAAAGTCTATCGTTACTGTTTCTGTTGCATGGAATACTTTGCATCTTGTATCTCTTCTGTCTTCTTTTTTTCTTTCTTTTTTTTTTTTAAACTTTTATTTTAGATTCAGGAGGTATATGTGCACTTTTGTTAACTGGGTATATTGTGTCATGCTAAGGTGTGGGGTATGAATGATCTCATCACCCAGGTACTGATCATAGTACCCAATAGTTAATTTTTCAACCCTTGTCTCCCTCTCTTGCTCTCCCCTCTATTAGTTCCCAGTTTCGCTTGTTGCCATCTTTATGTCCATGATTACCCAGGATTTAGCTCCCACTTATAAGTGAGAATATGCAGTATTTGGTTTTCTGTTACTGCATTAGTTTGCTTAGGATGATGGCCTCCAGTTTCATCCTTGTTGCTGTGAAGGACATGATTTCATTCTTTTTTATAGGTGTATAGTATTCTATGGTGCATATGTGCCACATTTTTCTCTGTCTAGTCCACTGTTAGTGGACACCTAGGTTGGTTCTGTGTCTTTGCTGTCATTAATAGATTTGCAGTGAACATGTAAGTGCATGTGTCTTTCTGGTAAAATGATTTGTTTTCTTTTGGATATCTACCCAGTAATGGGATTGCTGGATTGAATGGTACTTCTGTGTTCTTTGAGAAATCTTTAAACTGCCTGCCACAGTGACTGAACTAATTTGTATGCCCACCAACAGCGTGTAAGCATTCCCTTTTCTCCACAGCCTCACCAGCATCTGTTGTTTTGACTTTTTAATAATAGCCATACTGATTGGTGTGAAATAATATCTCATTGAGGTTTTGATTTGCATTTCCCTGGTGATTAGTGATATGGAGCATTTTTTAATATGTTTGTTGGCTGCTTGTATGCCCTCTATTGAGAAGTGCTGTTTATGTCTTTTGCCCATTTTTAAATTGGGTTATTTGTTTTTCACTTGTTCAGTTGTTTAAGTTCTTTGTAGATTCTGGGTATTCGACTTTTGTCAGATGCATAGTTTGCAAATATTTTCTCCCATTCTGTAGCTTGTCTGTTTACTCTGTTGATAATTTATTTTGCTGTGCAGAATCTCTTTAGTTTAATTAGGTCCCACTCATCAATTTTTCTTTTCTTTTCTGTTTTGTTTTCTGTTCGTTTGTTTGTTTGTTTGTTTGTTTTGAGATGGAGTTTCGCTTTTGTTGCCCAGGCTAGAGTGCAATGGTGCGATCTTGGCTCACTGCAACCTCTGCCTCCTGGGTTCAAGCGATTCTCCTGCCTCAGCCTTCTGAGTAGCTGGAATTACAGGCACGTGCCACCACGCCTGGCTAATTTTTGTATTTTTAGTAGAGACAGGGTTTCTACCATGTTGGTCAGACTGGTCTCAAACTCCTGACCTCAGGTGATCCACCCGCCTCGGCCTCCCAAAGTGCTGGGCTTACAGGCATGAGCCATCATGCCCGGCCTTTTGTTGCAATTTCTTTTGAAGACTTAGTCATAAATTCTCTCCCAAGGCCAATGTCCTGAATGGTGTTTCCTAGGTTTTCGTCTATGATTCTTATAGTTTGAGGTCTTACGTTTAAATCTTTAATCCATCTGGAGTTAAATTTTTATATACAGTGAAAGCTAGGGGTCCAGTTGCATTCTTCTGAGCATGACTAGTTAGCTATCCTAGCACTATTTATTGCATAGGGAGTCCTTTCTCCATTGCTTATTTTTGTCAATTTTGTCAAAGATTAGATGTCTGTAGGTGATAGAGTTTGGCTGTGTCCCCACCCAAATCTCATCTTGAATTGTAAGTCCCACAGTTCCCACATGTTGTGGGAGGAACCTGGTGGGAGGTGATTGAATTTTGGGGGTGGAGGCATTCCTACATTATTCTTGTGATAGTGAATGAACCTCATGAGATCTGATGATTTTAAAAAGGAGAGATTCTCTGCACAAGCTCTTCTCTTGTCTGCCGCCATGTGAGATGTGTCATTCACCTTCTGCCATGAACGTGAGGCCTCCCCACCCACATGGAACTATAAGTCCAATAAACCTTTTTCCTGTATAAATTACCCAGTCTCAGGTAGGTGTTTATCAGCAGTTTGAAAACAGACTAATACCCCACAGAAAAAGTGGGGTATTGCTGAAAAGACACCTGAAAATGTGGAAGCGACTTTGGAACTGGACAACAGGCAGAGGTTGGAACAGTTTGGAGGGCTCAGAAGAAGACAGGAAAATGTGGGAAAATTTGGAACTTCCTAGAGACTTGTTGAATGGCTTTGACCAAAATGCTGATAGTGATATGAACAATAAGGTCCAGGCTGAGGTGTCCTCAGATGGAGAAGAGGAACTTGTTGGGAACTGGAGCAAAGGTGATTCTTGTTATGTTTTAGCAAAGAGACTGTTGTCATTTTGCCCCTACCCTAGAGATCTGTGGAACTTTGAACGTGAGAGAGATGATGTAGGATATCTGGCATAAGAAATTTCTAAGCAGCAAAGGCTTCAAGAAGTGACTTAGGTGCTGTCAAAGGCACTCAGTTTCAAAAGGGAAACAGAATAAAAGTTTGGAAAACTTGCAGCCTGACAATGAGATAGAAAAGAAAATCCCATTTCCTGAAGTGAAATTCAAATCAGCTGCAGAAATTTGCACAAGTAATAAGTAGCTGAGTGTTAATCCCCAAGACAATGGGGGAAAATGTCTCCAGGGCATATCAGAGGTCTTCAGGGCAGCCCCTCCCATCACAGGCTGGGAGGCCTAGAAGGAAAAGTGGTTTCATGGGCTGGTCCTAGGGTCCCCATGCTGCTTGCACCCTAGGGACTTAGTGCCCTGTTTCCCAGCTGTTCCAGCCTTGGCTGAAAGGGGCCAAGGTAGCTAGCGCTTGGGCTGTGGCTTCAGAGGATGCAAGCCCCAAGCCTTGGCAGCTTCCATATGGTGTTGAGCCTGCAAGTGCACAAAAGTCAAGAATTGGGGTTTGAGAACCTTTGCCTAGATTTCAGAGGACGTATGGAAATGCCCAGATGCCCAGGCAGAAGTTTGCTGCAGGGGTGGGGCTCTCATGGAGAATCTCTGATAGAGCAGTGTGGAAGGGAAATGTGGGGTCAGAGCCCCCACACAGAATTCCTACTGGGGCACTGCCTAGTGGAGCTATGAGAAGAGGGCCACTGTCCTCTAGACCTCAGATGGGTACATCCACTGACAGCTTGCACTCTATGCCTGGAAAAGCCACAGACACTTAACACCAGCCCATGAAAGCAGCTGGGAGGGAGGCTGTACCCTACAGAGCCACAGGGGTGGAGCTTCCCAAAACCACAGGAACCCACCTCTTATATCATGTGACCTGGATGTGAGACATGGAGTCAAAGGAGATCATTTTGGAACTTTAAGATTTGACTGCCCTGCTGGATTTGAGACTTGCATGGGGACTGTAGCCTCTTTGTTTTGGCCAGTTTCTTCCATTTGGAACAGCAGTATTTAACCAATGCCTGTACCCCCATTATATCAACTATCTAACTTGCTTTTGATTTTACAGGCTCATAGGCAGAAGGGACTTGCCTTGTCTCGGATGAGATGTTGAACTGTGGACTTTTGAGTTAATGCTGAAATAAGTTAAGACTATGGGGGACTGTTTGGAAGGTGTAATTGGTTTTGAAATGTCAGGACATGTGATTTGGCAGGGGCTGGGGCAGAATGATATGGTTTGGCTGTGTCCTCACCCAAATCTCCTCTTGAATTGTAACTCCCACAATTCCCATGTCGTGGGAGGAACCTGCTAGGAAGTGATTGAATTATGGGAATGGGTCTTTCCTGTGCTGTTGTCGTGACAGTGAATGAGTCTCACGAGATAATGATGGTTTTAAAAAGGGGAGTTTCCCTGCAGAAGCTGTTCTCTTGTCTGCTGCCATGTGAGATGTGCCTTTCACCTTCCGCCATGATTGTGGGGCCTTCCCAGCCATGTGGAACTGTAAGTCCAATAAACCTTTTTCCTTTATAAATTACCCAATCTTTGATATGTCTTAATCAGCAGCATGAAAACAGAATGGTATGGGGCATTATTTCTGGGTTCTCTATTCTGTTCCATTGGTTTATATGTCTGTGTTTGTACCAGTAGTATGCTGTTTTGGTTACTGTAGCATTAGAGTATAGTTTGAGGTTGGGCAACGTGATGCCTCCTGCTTTGTTCTTTTTGCTTACGATTGCTTTGGCTATTTCAGCTCTTTTTAGGTTCTATATGAATTTTAACTTTTTTTTTTTTTTGTCTTTCAGGAGGTAGGTGCTGGAATCTATCTGAATTTTTAATTTTATATATTTTTTCTAGTTCTATGAAAAATGACATTGGTAGTTTGATAGGACTAGTGTTGAATTTGCAGATTGCTTTGGTCAGTATGGCCATTTTGCTGATATTGATTCTTCTAATCCATGAGCATGGAATGTTTTTCCATTTGTTGTTGTCATCTATAATTTCTTTTAGTAGTGTTTTATAGTTCTTCTTATAGATATCTTTCACTTTCTTGGTTAGATGTATTCCTAGGTATTTCATTTTGTGTGTGTGTTATTGTAAATGGAATTTTGTTCTTGCTTTAGCTTTCAACATGAGTGGTATTGATGTATAGAAATGCTACTGATTTTTGTGCATTGATTTTGTCTCTTAAAACTTTCCTGAAGTTGTTTATCAGTTTCAGAAGCTTTTTGGTGGAGTCTTTAGGGCTTTCTAGGTATAGAATTATATTGTCCATGAAGATAGTTTGACTTCTTCTTTTCTTATTTGGATGTCTTATTTCTTTCTCTTACCTGATTGCTCTGGCTAGAACTCCCAGTACTATGTTGAATAGGAGTAATGAGAGTGGGCACCCTTATCTTGTTCCAGTTTTTAAGGGGAATGCTGCCAGATTTCTGCCCATTTGGCCTAATGTTGACTGTGGGTTTATCATAGATTGGTTTTGTTATTTTGAGGTATGTTTCTTTAGTGCCTAGTTTCTTGAGGTTTTCATCATGAAGCAATATTAGATTTTATCTAAAATTTTTCCCTGTCTGAGAAGATCGTATGGTTTTTGTTTTTAATTATGTTTATGTGGTGAATCATATTTATTGATTTGTATATGTTGAACCAACTGTCATGGCTTTTGTAGTTCAGTGGTGGGTGAGAAACACACCTAGCAGCTCTTTTCCCCCACAGTTTGGTGAGCAGGAGGGAGGATTCCGGTGTTACATGACCCCTTCGGTGCCGCTTCGCCAGCTGGAAATCTCTGCGGCCGATGTCTCTTTGCTCAGGCTCACTGGGTTCACGCTGCTCACCCGCCCGCTGCAGGCTGCACTTGGCTTGCACCCCAGTCTGGATGCTGCACCCGCCACAGGATCCACACTTAGTCTATGGCTGGGCTGGGTGTGCAGCAACCTGCTTCGGTCTTGGGTGCTGGCATCTAGACAAGGGTAATGTGGTGACACCCAGAAACTCAGAGGTGCCAGCAACTGTTGAGCCCCAAGTGCTGTTACAGCTCTCACCCAGAGAGTCCCAAGGTCTGAGATCCCCAAGAAATGTTATACCTTCTTCGTGTTACAGATCGTTTGCTCCTGCTGCCTGCAGAGTGGCAAATTCTGGGTTCTTGTGCCATGACCAAGAAGAATTAGATACTCAGACACCAGAGACTGAGTAGGGCAGAGAAGAATTATATTGAGCGACAGAAGGAGATCTCTCAGCAGAGAAGGGACCCAAGAGCAGGTAGCCCTCTGTGAGGCTGAGTCCAGGATTTTTATGGGCTAATAATAGGAAAGTGCATGCTGATTGGTCCATGGGCCTGCCTGGAAAAAGCACCATTCAATTGGTTAAAAGGCATCAAGGAAGTTCTCATTCCAGTCACGGGCTCTATGGACTGGTAGCTCAGTTTTCAGTCTTTAAACTGTCTTTGGCTTGTAGGTCGGGTTTCACCAGGGACCTGTCCCTGTCTGCCTAGGAATTTGTCTGCCTCCTTATGCTGTCATTCATAGCAAATAAGTAGCAGAGCCTGCCTGTATACCTAGGATATCTGACTCTAGTGCTTATACTTAAATAATATATTACTTTATATAATGTCATTAGTTTTTATAATAGACTTTAAGGATATATTATGCAGTCGTATTATATATATATATATATATATATATATATGCACATCATTTATATATTGTTTTACGAGTATGTTGTTTCAAGATATTGGTGAGGTAAGCATTTTTACATAAAAATTATTGTTCATCATTCTTTGAAATGAATTCTTAGGACCAGAAGACCATGTCCAGGTGCATTACATTTTATTTGATTTCATTATTTATTTATTTATTTGGAGACAGAGTCTTGCCCTGTCACCCAGGCTGGAGTGCAGTGGCATGATCTTGGCTCACTGCAACCTCCACCTCCCGGGTTCAAGCAATTCTCCTGCTCCCAAGTAGTTGGGACCACATGTGCACACCACCATGCCTGGTTGATTTTTATATTTTTAGTAGAGACAGGTTTTCACCATGTTTCCCAGGCTGGTCTTGAACCAGGCAGCCATCCTCCTGCCTCAGCCTCCCAAAGTTCTGGGGTTAAGGCATGAGCCACAACACTCGGCCCTAGGTGCATTAAATTTTAAATGCTTTAAAAACATATATGTTTATTGCAGCACTATTTACAATAGCAAAGACTTGGAACCAACCCAAATGCCCATCAACGATAGACTGGATAAAGAAAATGTGGCACATAGGCACCTTGGAATACTATGCAGCCATAAAAAAAGAATGAGTTCATGTCCTTTGCAGGGACATGGATGAAGCTGGAAGCCATTGTTCTCAGCAAACTAATACAGGAACAGAAAACCAAACACCACATGTTCTCACTTTTAAGTGGGAGTTGAACAATGAGAATACATGGACACAGGGAGGCGAACATCACACACTGGGGCCTGTTGGTGGGTGGGGGTCAAGGGGAGGGAGAACATTAGGATAAATACCTAATGCATGCTGGGCTTAAAACCTAGATGAAGGTTGATGGGTGCAGCAAACCACCATGACACATGTATACCTGTATAACAAACCTGCACATTCTGCACATGTATTCACTCTTGTTGCCCAGTCTAGAGTGCAATGGCGTGATCTCGGCTCACCACAACCTCTGCCTCCCAGGTTCAAGTGATTCTCCTGTCTCAGCCTCCTGAGTAGCTGGGATTACGGCATGTACCACTACGCCCAGCTAGTTTTGTATTTTTAATAGAGATGGGGTTTCTTCATGTTGGTCAAGCTGGTCTCAAACTCCCGACCTCAGGTGATGTACCCACCTTGGCCCCCCAAAGTGTTGGGATTACAGGCATGAGCCACCACGCCCGGCCTATGTTAGACTCTTGATAAGTATTCAAACACATTTGTGAGTGGAATGATTCCAGTTTCAGGAACCAATTTTTTTTCTTGGCAAATTTCCTTATAACTTTAGTTTTTAATGTTTGTTCTATTACTTTTCCTAAAGGCAATTTTCAATAATCTCTAGTCTTTGTGAGGGTCATATTGCCATTTACTTTTTTTAAAAAACAGTATTATACGTTAGGGCTGATGACTTTCGTTATTTGGAAAAACACTGTGACTTCTGAATCCATCTATTCTCAGTCTTCTTGTTGCTCTCATTTTGTTTTATCTTCACTTTAAAGAGTCAGCAGCCCCTCCTCTTAACATCAACCTATTTTATTCATACCTTTCTTAGCACACTTATAGTGTTTTTTATAGCTTATCACACTCCTGTGTCTCTAATGCCTGCAACACATATCCTGTATATGCATATACACATATTTACATGTATGTGTACATGTGCGTATTTGTGTATGTGTATGGTATCCTTAAACAGAGATCATGTCTTATTTAAATTTGTATCCCAGTAACTCTCTGTCCTTTTGCTATAGTCAGGATCAAATTACTTTTGCTAAATTACTAACTGGATTATTCAACCAAACCAATGAAGCAAGCATATTATTTTCCCTATTTATATTTTTCCAGCATTTTTGCTATCTTTCTTCTGATTAGATTACTTAGTCCCTTCAGTTGTACTTATTTCATTGCATTTTATCAGAATTGACAGGATGCTTATTTTCAGACATTTTTTGATCTAGTTTGTTCTTTCTTTATTTTTGCCCATTAAGGCAATTATCACCTTAGTTTTCGTTCACTTCTGATCATTCTATCTATTGATATTGTACAAACCTGTATTTTGCTTTTATTTTTTTCTTCCCAGTAAATACTAGCTCTGTACATATTTGATTTTTAAAACTTGTTTTCAAAGTTTTTTTATAATCTATTATTTAGTATTCCTCTTACTCACTCTTAATTTTTTGCCCTTTAAAAAAATATTTGCCTTCTCAAGTGCTCTTGCCTTATTAAAGTTGCATTATTAATCCTTTCACTTCATGAAAGTATGTGACAGTGATTATCTTTCTGTTTGAGAGATTAAGCTTTCAGCTTTACTTTTTTTTTTTTTTTTTTTTTTTTTGCTGGAAAGCCACCTCTGTTCATCCTTCAAATGCCATGGCTCAACTTTAATTTGGCTTTCAAAATACAAAGTATATTATAAATTAAATATTTGAAAGATAAAGAATTTCTTCTTGCCTTTATCTTCCGTATACGTCCCTAAGTCCACCAACTTGTAGTGCCATGAAAGTTGCTTGGCAGGATTGCCATTTGTAGTCATTTGTCACTCAGAAACATTGATGATTATTGCTATCAAAGAATATATTGAGTACTTGTTAATTCCATAGCATTCTATTTTATTTTATGCATAAGTTAAAAAGAAATAAAAGGCATAATTTCATGCTTTAAGGTAGTCTAGAATCAACTTATAACACAAAGTCTCTGCTCCTAACACATCTTTACACAACATAATAACTTTTATAAAGCAATACAACTAAATATTAAATTATGTGGTTGGGCACAGTGACATGCACCTATAGTCTCAGCTACCAGGGAGGCCAAGGTGGGAGGATTACTTGATCCCAGGAGTTTGAGACCAGCCTTGGCAACATATCAAGACCTTATTTCAAAATTAAAATCATAAATAAATAAAATGATGCAAGTCGTATATAAACATGCACAAAGATATAAAGTTAAAAATGGTATTAAGGTCATGTAACATTTAGTCAGGAAAGATGTTTTCTAGATAGTCTGAGAAAATAACATTTTAAATGATGATTGGCTAGGAGAATATGTGATTGTGGGAAAGAGAATGGCATATACATAATGATGGAGAACTCAGCAGGATATTTGCTTCTTTTAAGTCTCATTAACAAGTGTGTATCAGAAATACTTTCCTAATATTTGACATCCTAACTTTTGTTCCATCCAGAAAATAAAACCACAAATAAAAGGAATTCTTTCTTTTCCTAAAATGTCTTAATAAGATTAGGAAAACATATTTATTGCTCTGGGTTTAGCTATAAGACCCAAGAAGTTTGCACTCTGTCTGCTTAAAGAGACCTTATACATCAAGAAATACCACACAATATCTGGTAATATGTAATGTAAGTTTGAGGTATTCAGTGATATAGAAGAGGTTCAAAGGTTGGAAAAGATCATAAGCTTGGATAGGCAGGTGACTTCAAAGAGAAGTTATTTGAGCTGGACCTTCAAGAAAAGGCTTTTGAAAGGGTAGAGAAAGGACTTATGGGCAAAGTTTCATAAAAGATGCAAGTCTTTTTTTTTAATGTATCTTTTTATAATACTTTAAGTTCTAGGGTACATGTGCACAGCATGCAGGTTTGTTACATATGTATACGTGTGCCATGTTGGTGTGCTGCACCCATTAACTCATCATTTACATTAGGTATATCTCCTAATGCTATCCCTCCCCCCTCCCCCAACCCCACAAGAGACTCTGGTATGTGATATTCCCCTTCCTGTGTCCAAGTGTTCTCATTGTTCAGTTCCCACCTATGAGTAAGAACATGGGGTGTTTGGTTTTTTGTCCTTGCGATAGTTTGCTGAGAATGATGGTTTCCAGCTTCATCCATGTCCCTACAAAGGACATGAACTCAAAAAAAAAAAAAAAAAAAAAAAGATGCAAGTCTTTTCAGAGTGTGGCTTGCCTTAAAGCTTTTAGTTAATGTGAGGATGTTGCTGGAAAAAAATCAAGTCCTGTTGAAATGAAATTAAGGGTTGATGGCAGTAGGATATTTGGCAGGTAAATAAATGGAAACATACATGATGTTTGTAGAACAGAAGGCTCACTGTCTTTCAGATGTGAAATTTCCCCATATTGATCTGTAGAGTCAAAGAAATCCCAATCAAACTCTAGCAGGTTTTTTGTTGTTCTTGTTGTTTTTGGAGAAATTGACAAGATTGTTCTAAAATGCATATGGAAATGCAAAGGACCAAGATAACAGTTCTGAAAAAGAACAAAGTTAGAGGACTGACCTTATTTGGTTTTTCAAGACTTGCTATAAAGCTTCAATAATCAGGACAGTATGCCATTGGTATAGAAATATAGATCAATGTAATAGAAAAAAAGTCAGGAATAGATGAAAACATATAGTCAGTTGACTTTCTTTTTTTCTTTTTTTTTTTTTTTTGAGACGGAGTCTTGCTTTGTCACCCAGGCTGGAGTGCAGTGGCGCGATCTCGGCTCACTGCGAACCCCGCCTCCCAGGTTCACACCATTCTCCTGCCTCAGCTTCCCAAGTAGCTGGGACTAAAGGTGCCCGCCATCACACCCGGCTAATTTTTTGTATTTTTAGTAGAGATGGGGTTTCACCGTATTAGCCAGGATGGTCTCGATCTCCTGACCTCGTGATCCGCCCGCCTTGGTCTCCCAAAGTGCTGGGATTACAGGCATGAGCCACCGCGCCCGGCCAGCTGACTTTCAATAAAAGTACCATGATAATTCCATTGGAAAAAGTATAGCCTTTTCAGCAAAGTGCTAGAACAATTAGATACCCATATGGAGAAATAAAAAATTGGACCACAAACCCTGTTTCACACCATATACAAAGTTAATTCAAAATTAATTGTAGATCTGGACATAGGTCTAATATTATAAAAGCTCTAAAAGAATACAGAGGTGAAAATCTTTATAAAATCATATTAAACAAAGATTTCTGAGACAGGACACAAAGTACGAACCATGAAAGAAAAAACTGAGAAATTGAACTTCATTATATCCAAATTTTCGTTCTTTGAGAAACACAGTTAAGAACTGAAAAGCAAAGACATAGACAAGGAGAAAATATTTTCAAATATATATAAGAACTTGTATCCAGAATATGAAGAACACTAATAATGACAAGAAGAATAACCACTGAATGTTTAAAATATGGACAGAAGATTCAACAGCCACTTCAAAGTGGAAAACTTATGACTGGCCAATAGTATGTGAAAATATATTCAATGTAATAGCAATGCAAATTAAACTTTAATGAGATATTACTGCACACCTAGTAGAATGGCTAAAGATAAGAATGCTAACAATATAAAGTGCTGACATGGATACAGAGAAGTGAAACGCTCCCTTATGGCTAGTGGGAATGCAGAATTTCACTGCCACTTAGGAAAACAGTTTGGAAGTTTTTTTTAAAGTTAAATGTACACTTAACTTTTTGATCCAGCAATTCCACTCCAAGATATTTTCCAATAGAAATGAAAACATATGTCTACATAAAGTCTTGCATGTGAATGACAACTTTATTCATAATAGACAAAATCAGGAAACAACTTATATTAGTCCATTCTCACACTGCTATGAAGAAATACCCAAGGCTGGGTAATTGATAAATGAAAGCGGTTTAATTGACTCACAGTTCAGCATGGCTGGGGAGGCCTCAGGAAACTTATAGTCATGGCAGAAGGCACCTCCTCACAGGGCAGCAGGAGAGAGAATGAGTGCAGAGCGAAGGGGGAAGCCCTATACTTATAAAACCACCTGATCTCATGAGAACTTCCTCACTATCACGAGAACAGTATGGAGGAAAACCAGCCCCATGATTCAATTACCTCCTATCGGGTCCCTCCCACAACATGTGAGGATTATGAGATTACAATTTAAGATGAGATTAGGGTGGGGACACAAAGCCAAACCATATCACAACTCAAATTTCTATTTTGTGCTTTTGCCTCATGTCTTCTGAATGAGACTTTTGCAGAAGGTGCAACTTCAGGAATCTGTGATTTTCAAAATTGCTTCATGTTATTCTGTTGCAGTGAGGCAGTTTGGGAACCAGTGCCCTAGACTATCTTATCCAGTAAGGTAGGGACGCTGCTAATTCGTAGAGTACTTTTTTGCAAATTTGGAAAAACATGCCTTTTCTGGAAAGATGCAGTCTTATTGATGTATGGCCTGGCAGCTAGAATGAAGACTGAATTTCAGCTTTCTTTATATTCCCTCATGTGGGAGCTGTAGTTCATTGTTTCATGTACATTACATAAAGCAAAACATTAAAAAAAAAAAAAAAAGAAAAAAAAAACCCTGAAGCTTTGACTCCCAACCTCATCATGAGTAAGCTTAATCTGGCAGAGTATTTAAGCTAGATGAGTCTGGAATTAGCTAGAAGACTTTTTGTTTTTTGTTTTCCTTTAAAGCAAATCTCTAATACTACTACCACATTGCTACCAAAGGCATTACTACTTAGAGCTAGAGGAAAAGTAGAAAGAGGCTATACTGGAAGAAAATAAGAGAATGGCTGAGTAGCTCAAAGTGAACCCAGCTCTTGCTACTTGCTAGAAAGAAAAGAAGAAATGAAAGTAGAAGTAGGTGGTTGTAGCTCCATTCATTTTTCCACTGTAGGGGAGTGGAGCGTAAGCTAGAGAGAACTAGAGAAGGCCATGCTTTTCTAAATTTCTGGGAAGAATGACTAACAAAGGGAAAAAGTGATTATGGACCTACTGTATGAGAGAACAGAACCTCTGTCCCTCTAACCACATGGATCAAGTGGGAGAAGGCATATATACAGTATTCTAGAATTTTTAATCCACTATAATATTTAATCCATTAATTAATTTTCAATCAATTATAATTGCTTATTTCACTTTATTTTTTTGACAGAGTCCTGTTCTGTTGCCCAGGCTGGACTGTAGTGGCATAATCTTAGCTCACTGCAGCCTTTGCCTCCTGGGTTCAAGTGATTCTTTTGCCTCAGCTTCCCAAGTAGCTGGGACTACAGGCATGCCATTGTGCCCAGCTAATTTTTTTGTATTTTTAGTATAGACGGGGTTTTGCCATGTTGGCCAGGCTGGTCTTGAATTCCTGGTCCCAAGTGGTCTACCTATCTGAGGCTCCTAAAGTGCTGGGATTACCGGCATGACCCACCACAACTGGCCAGGAGATGAGAGTAGTTTTAGTTTTTATTTTTATTTTTTTGAGACAGAGTTTCACTCTATCACCCAGGCTGGAGTGCAGTGGCACAGTCTTGGCTCACTGAAATCCTCTGCCTCCAAAGCTCAAGCAATCCTCCCACCTCAGCCTCCAGAGTAACTGGGACCACTGGTGCACACTGCCACACCTGGCTAATTTATTTATTTATTTTTTTTAAAGAAGTGGGGCTTCGCCATGTTGCCCAGTCTGGTCTCGAACTCCTGGGCTTAAGCAATCCGCCTGCCCTGCCCTCCCAAAGTGCTAGGATTACAGGCTTGAGCCACTACTCCCAGCCTTAATTAGTTTTAATGAAACCACCACAATAAACAATAAAATATTCTTGAACTTAACTAACATTCCTATTTTCTATGGGTAAAGTATTTCAGTCTTATGCATGGTGAAATAAGGGTGAGGTGAAGTCAGATAAGGGACAGATAATAAAAAAATTTAAATGTCAAAAATGATAATCTAGGATGAAAATACCAGAATTAGGTGAAGACCCAGTGCTGAAGAAACTTGAAAACTAGGCCAAGTGATTAGAAATATATTTTATTGGAATGATGAAGCTGATGGTGTTTCAGATAAAATTGTTCTCTAAGATTTATTTTTTTACACCTTTATTGATATGTAATTCACATACCATATAGTTTACTCATTTAAAGTGTACAATTCAGTGGTTTTGTGAATATTCAAGAGTTATATAACCATCACAATTCATTTTAGAATTTTTACCACCCAATATTTTTACCACTCAAAAAGAAACCCCAAATCCATTAACAGTCACTTTCCTTTCCCCCCAGCTCTCCTCTCCCTTCTCTGCCATAGGCACAAATCTACTTTCTGTCTCTATACATTTGGCTCTCCTGGCCATTTCATGTAAATGGAATACAGTATGTGGTCTTTTGTGACTGGCTTTTTTTTTTTTAACTAGAGAAACGTTTTCAAGGTTCATTCATGTTGTAGCATTTATCAGTACTTAATTCATTTTTATTGCAAAATAATATTCCATTGACTTGATAATACCACATTTAGTTTATTCATTTTGATATTAGTTGATGGATATTTGGGTTGTTTTCACTTTTGGGCTCTTAAGAATAATGCTGCAATGAACATTCATGTGATAGTTTTTGTGTGGACATATTTTCATTTCTCTTGGGAATATATCTAGTGGTAGAGTTTCTGGGTCATATAATAACTATGTTTAGCCTTTTGAGCAACTACTAGAGTGGTTTCATAAGCAGCTGAGTCATATTACCTATTCACGAGCAATGTATGAGGGTTCCAATTTCTTTACATCCTCATGAGCGCTTGTTTTTATCTCTTTGATTATTGAGTGGGTATGAAGTATTTCATTTTAGTTTTGGTTTGCATTTCCCTGGTGGCTAATGATGTTGAACATTTTTTTCATGTGCTTATTGGCCATTTTTATATCTACTTTGGATAAATGAATATTCAGATTCTTTCCCCATTTTAAAATTCGGTTGTTTTATTATTGAGTTAGAGTTTTTTATGATATTCTGGACAGAAGTTTCTTATCAGATACATAATATGTAAACATTTTCTTTTAACTTATGAGTTGCCTTTTCACTTTCTTGATAGTTTCCTTAGAAACATAAAATATTTTAATTTTGATGAAGTTCAATTCATCTAGTTTTTTTTGTCACTTATACTTTGATCTCATATCCTAGAAGACTTTACATATTCTGAGATCATAAAGATTTACTCGTTCATCTTCCTCTAAGAGTTTTGTAGTTTTTAGTCTTTCTTATATTTAGGTCTATGATCCATTTTAGTTAATTTTGTATAAGGTGTGAGGAAGGGATATATTCATAGCTTCATTCTTTTCCATATGGATATTTAGTTTTCTAGCATCATTTTTTGAAAAGACTAGTCTTTTTCCATTGAATGATCTTGGCATCCTTGTTGAAAATCTGTTGATCATAAATATAAGTGTTTATTATATGGACAAGATTAATTTTTTTAATGAGTGATATGCAGAATGAATTTGAGGAACACATAGAGCCAATGATAATGAGATGAGTTAGAGGAAGTACCATTGTGAAACTGTATGGACCTAAACCAGTGAAGTTTGTTGGGTGATACATGTAAAGAGACAAAGCTGAATTATTATGTCTTCAGTATGCATTTTGTGTATATTATGTGTTATATATATTATTTATATTTCCATTATAATCATTCCTTCTCTTTTATCCAATGACTTAATATTATGTTATTATTTCATACTAACTGGACTGTGTGAAATGAATTTGGGAACAGAGGAGTCTCCTGTAAGTCTTCTCAGCTGTGAAATATCCTTGAATATCCCAAGGAATTCTCTGAAGATTGGAGTCCTGGCCCTCTTTGTTGAATTTGATTTAGCACATTAGGGTTAGACCAAGTTACTTGTATTTTATATAGCTGCCCATATTATTCCAATGTACAGCTCTGGACCCTCTGGCTTTTTATAATCAATTTCTAATGAACTGTCGTATCTTCCTATTAGTTATTAGTTGCTTAGCTTTCTGGTGTCATTTGTGATTTTCAGGTATCATCTCTTGTTTTTGGTCTGGTTTAGTCTTTATTGGCATTCCATAGCTGCCAGGCCATTCTGCCTTGCTAGAAGACAAATATTACAATTTTTTTCTTTTTTTCTACTTAAAACCTCTTAGATATCATAAGACCATAGATCTCAGACTTATTATACTGATTGGTGAGATCTGCTCTCAGAGTGGGGCCCACTGTATTTTAAACACGTACCCCCAGGTAATTCTGATATAGATGGTTAGAGGAACTCTGCTTTCGAGTGTTTCTAAGCCAATTTGTTATTTTGGTTGCAAGGATATTAGAGGTGATTTTATTGGTATTTACCCTACCGAGTCAGTAGTGCCTAAATCCTAACATTCAGTTTTCCTCCTTATGAAACCCCTGGCAGAGGCCCATGTGAGAAAGGAATCTTGGCTTAGTAGGAGGCTAAGAGCTAATACATTATTACCTGGGCTGGTACTTCCTGGGCATTATTATCTAGCAAGTATAATAGACGCAGGTCTGGTCACATGAATTAGCTAATATTTTATTTGACATTTCCTAGTTCTACTTCCTGTCCCAAATCGTCTTTTAATTTTTAATTTGTTTTTTTTTCAGGCTTATTGAAGTATAATTAACAAGTAAAAATTGTGATATTTTGATGTGCATATACATTGTGAAATGAGTGTATCATTAACATATTCATCAAGCTAATTAACATATTCATCAGCTCACATAGTTAATTTCGTGTGTGATGAGAACATTTAAGGTCTACTCTACTAGTGAATTATAAGTACACAATATGTTATTGTTAACTATACTCACTATGCTATACATTTGGTCTCCAGAATTTATTCATCTTATAACAGAAAGTTTCTACTCTTTGACAAACCTCTCCCCATTTGCCCCACTCCCCCCAGTCCCTGATAACCAGCCTTCTACTCTGTTTTTGTGTGTTTGACTTTTTGAGATGCCACATATATATGAGATCATGCAGAATTTGTCTGTGTCTGACTTATTTCACTTAGCATAATGTCTTCCAGATTCATCCATGTTATTGCAAATAATAAGATTTCCTTTTTTAAGGCTGAATAATACTTTATCATGTGTGCGTGTGTAAAATCACATTTTCTTTATCCATTTATCCATCAACAGACACTGGGTTTTTTTTTCCATATTTTGGCTATTGTGTATAATGCTGCAATGAACATGGAAAATACTGATTCCACATAGTGATTTTATTTCCTTTGGATATATTCCCAGAAGTAGATTGCTGGATCATGTGGTAGTTCTAGTTTAATTTTTGAGGAACCTCTATGTTGTTTTCTATTATGGAATGTACCGCGGCACAATAAAGTCCACATATGACAAGCCCACAGCTAACATCATACTAACGGTGAAAAATTGAAAACATTACCTTTAAGATCAGGGATAAGACACAGATACTCTTGCCACTTATCAACATAGTACTGGAGTCCTAGCCTAATAATTAGACAAGAAAAAGAAGTAAAAGGCATCCAGACGGGAAGGGAAGAAGGTAAACTATTCCTGTTGTAGATGACATGACCTGATTAAAGAAAATGCTAAAGCATGCACCAAAATTTGTTAGAACTAATAAATAAATTCAGCAAACTTGCAGGATCAACTTTACTGAGTGGACAACGTACAAAAATCAGCTGTATTTTACACACTAACAGTGAACTACCTGAAAAATTAAGAAAACAATCCCATTTCCAATAACATCAAAAAGAATAAAATACTTTGTAATATATTTAACTGAGGAAGTGAAAGATATGCACACTGAAAACTGTAATACATTGGTGAAAGAAATTGAAGAAGACACAAATAAATGGAAAGATACCTCGTGTTCATGGATTGGTAGAATATTGTAGAAATGTCCGTACTAGCTATCCCAGATCTAAATATGTAATAAACATTTCAAGTATTCAGGGAAATAATACAATGCCACTTCTTTAGAGGAGATCACCTAATATTTACAAGTAGAAGAGCTAAGATAAAACAGAAAAGAGTACCTTCTCACCTTTTCATCACTGATGCTGTCTGCAGTGAATATATTGTTAGTGGTGAAGACCAAACTATATTAAAGTTTAAGGGATGCAAATAAGCATGAGAATGAGCATGGGAAACCAGCCCCAAAATTCAGTCTTCAAGATTCATTAAAAGTTAAAACCACAAAAGGCAGAAAAAGAATTGAAGACAAACGTTGGAAGAAAGTACAAAGGCAAAAAATAGAAAAAAAGTAGCAAATATTGTAGATATTAGTCAATATTTGTTACTTTTGAATGTCAGTGGTTTAAGTACATCAGTTAATCACTTTGAATGTCAGTGGTTTACATGCATCTACTAAAAGACAGAAATTGCTGGGCATGGCGGCTCACACCTGTAATCTCACTGCTGTCAGGCCCTGGTGTGTGATGTTCCCCTCCCTGTGCCCCTATGTTCTCATTGTTCAACCCCCACTTACGAGAGAGAACATGTGGTGTTTGGTTTTCTGTTCCTGTGTTAGTTTGCTGAGAATGATGGTTTACAGCTTCATCCATGTCCCTGCAAAGGACATTAACTCATCCTTTTGTATGGCTGCATAGTAATCCATGGTGTATATATTCCACATTTTCTTTATCCAGTCTATCATTGATGGGCATTTGGGTTGGTTCCAAGTCTTTGCTGTTGTGAATAGTGCTGCAGTAAACATAAGTGTGCATATGTCTTTACAGTAGAATGATTTATATCCTTTGGGTATATACCAAGTAATGGGATTGCTAGGTCAAATGGCATTTCTAGTTCTAGATCCTTGAGGAATCTCCACACTGTCTTTCACAATGGTTGGACAAATTTACATTCCCACCGGCAGTGTAAAAGCATTCCTATTTCTCCACATCTGCTCCAGCATCTGTTGTTTCCCGACTTTTTAATGATTGCCATTCTTACTGGCGTGAGATGGTATCTCTTTGTGGTTTTGATTTGCATTTCTCTAATGACCGGTGATGATGAGCTTGTTTTCATAAGTTTTTTGGCCACATAAATGCCTTCTTTTGAAAAGTGCCCGTTCATATCCTTTGCCCACTTTTTGATGGGGTTGTTTGTTTTTTTCTTGTAAATTTAAGTTCTTTGTAGATTCTGGATATTAGCCCTTTGTCAGATGGATAGATTGCAAAAATTTTCTCCCATTCTGTAGGTTGCCTGTTCACCCTGATGATAGTTTCTTTTGCTGTGCAGAAGCTCTTTAGTTTAATTAGATCCCATTTGTGAATTTTGGCTTTTGTTGCCATTGTTTTTGGTGTTTTAGTCATGAAGTCTTTGCTCATGCCTATGTCCTGAATCATATTGCCTAGGTTTTCTTCTAGTGTTTTTATGGTTTTAGGTCTTACATTTAAATCTTTAATCCATCTTGAGTTAATTTTTGTATAAGGTGTAAGGAAGAGGTCCAGTTTCAGTTTTCTGCATATAGCTAGCTAGTTTTCTCAACACCATTTATTAAATAGGAAATCCTTTCCCCATTGGTTGTTTTTGTGAGGTTTGTCAAAGATCAGATGGTTGTAGATGTGTGGTGTTGTTTCTGAGGCCTCTGTTGTGTTCCATTGGCTTATATATCTGTTTTGGTACCAGTATCTTGCTGTTTTGGTTACTGCAGCCTTGTAGTATAATTTGAAGTCAGGTAACATGATGCCTTCAGCTTTGTTGTTTTTGCTTAGGATTATCTTGGCTATATGGGCTCTTTTGTGGTTTCATATGAAATTTAAAGTAGATTTTCAAATTCTATGAAGAAAGTCAATGGTAGCTTGATGGGAATACATTGAATCTGTAAATTACTTTGGACAGTATGGCCATTTTCATGATATTGATTCTTCCTATCCATGAACACGGAATGTTTTTCCATTTGTTTGTGTCCTCTCTTATTTCCTTGAGCAGTCATTTGTTTTTCTCCTTGAAGAGGTCCTCCACATCGCTTGTAAGTTGTATTCCTAGATATTTTATTCTCCTTGTAGCAATTGTGAATGGGAGTTCAATCATGATTTGGCTCTCTGTTTGTCTATTATTGGTGTATAGGAATGCTTGTGATTTTTGCACATTGATTTTGTATCCTGAGACTTTGCTGAAGTTGCTTACCAGCTTAAGGAGTTTTTGGACTGAGATGATGGGGTTTTCTAAATATACAATCATGTCATCTGCAAACAGAGACAATTTGACTTCCTCTCTTCCTATTTGAATAGTCTTTATTTCTTTCTCTTGCCTGATTGCCCTGGCTAGAACTTCCAATACTGTGTTGAATAGGAGTGGGGAGAGAGGGCTTCCTTGTCTTGTGTCGGTTTTTAAAGGGAATGCTTGCAGCTTTTGCCCATTCGATATGATATTGGCTATGGGTTTGTCATAAATAGTTCTTATTATTTTGAGAGATGTGCCATCAGTACCTAGTTTATTGAGTGTTTTTATCATGAAGAGGTGTTGAATTTTATCGAAGGCCTTTTCCACATCTATTGAGATAATCATGTGGTTTTTGTCATTCGTTCTACTTATGTGATGGATTATGTTTATTGATTTGCATATGTTGAACCAGCCTTGCATCCCAGGGATGAAGCCAACTTGATCATGATGGATAACTTTTTTGATGTGCTGCTGGATTTGGTTTGCCAGTATTTTATTGAGGATTTTTGCATTGATGTTCATCAGGGATATTGGCCTGAAATTTTCTTTTTTTGTTGTGAAGAGTCATTTTTTAGAAAATATTTTGACCTCATTGAAAATGAAAATAGATCATGTTAAAAATTTTGGGATGCTGTAAAAGCAGCGCTTTGAGGGAAATTCATATTATTGAATGCATATATATTAGAAAAGAAGAAAGATCTAAAATCAGCTATCTAAGCATCTTCATTAGGAAACTATAAAAAGGAGAGGAAATTAAATCCAAAGTAAGGAGAACAAAAGAAATAATAAAAATTAGGGCAGAATTCAGTGAAATTGAAAACAGGAAATCAGTAGAGAAAGTCAGTAACACCAAAAGCTGGTTCTTAGCAAAGATCGATATTTTTGATAAGCCTCTAACCAGGCTAAGAAAAAAAGAGAGATGACACAAATTAGTAATATTAAAAATGAGAGAGAAAAATTCACTGTGGATGGCATGGGCACTAAAAGGACAATAAAAGAATATTATGAGCCCCTCTGTGCCCACAAGTTTGACAACCAAGATGAAATAGACCAATTTTTTCCAAGGTGTAAATCTGTCAAAACTTTACAAGAATCGGCAATCTGAATAGGCCTATATCTAGTAGAGAAATTGAATCAATATTTAACAACCAGCTGGGCACAGCAGCTCATGCCTGTAAACTCAGCACTTTGGGAGGCCAAGATGGGCAGATCACTTGAAGCCAGGAGTTTATTGCCAGCCTGGCCAATATGGTAAAACCCCAATTCTCTAAAAATACAAAAAAAAAAAAAAAAAATTAACAACCTTCAAAAAGAGAGAACAACACAGGGCCAGGTGGATTTACTGGTGAATTCTGCCCAACACTTAAGGAAGAAAGTGTACCAATCCTCTCCTATCTCTTCCAGAATATAAAAGCAAAGATAATAAATACTTCGTGTTCCATTCTATGAGGCCACCAGAACTCTAACACCAAAATCAGACAAAAATGTTACAAGAAAAGTAAACTATAGATTAATATCTCTCATGAACATAAATGCAAAAACAAATATATATCAATATGTATATTGATATATACAAATATATATCAGTAAAATATTAACAAATCGAGTCCAACAACATATAAAAGGAATTATATACAGAGACCAGGTGGGATTTATCCCAGGTATAGAAGGCTGGTTCAACATTCAAAAGTCAATGAATATAGTCCATCACATCTGCAGGCTAAAGAAGAAAAATAACATGATTATATCAGTAGATGCAGAAAAAAGCATTTGACAAAAATCATCCATTTATGAGAAAAACTCTAAGTATACTAGGAGTAGAGCAGAATTTTCTCAACTTGAAAAAAAATACCTACAAAACACCTAGAGCTAACATTATATTTAATAGTGAGAAACTAAAAAACTTTCCTGCTAAGATTAGGAACTAGACAATGATATCCTTTCTTACAGTTATTTTCTAGCTAATGCAGTAGGATAAGAAAAATAAATGAACAATACACAGATTTGGAAGGAAGAAGTAAAAGTCTTTGATCACAATGACATCCTTGTCTATGTATAACTGTTCAAAAATAGAGTAAAAAACCTCTGAAAATTGATAAGCAATTATAGCAAGGTTTCAGAATACAAGCTTATTATACAAAAGTCATTCATTTTCCTATATAACAGCAATGAGCAAGTAGAATTGGAAATTAAAAACATATTAAAATTCATTTCTGTTAACACCCCTAAAAATGAAATACTTAGGTATAAACCTAATAAAATCTGAAGTCTGTATGAGGAAAACTACAAAACTGTGATCAAAGTTTTGAAATAATTAATAAATGGTAAGATATTCTACATTCATGGATAAGAAGATGTCAGTTCTTCCCTACTTAATCTAAAGATTCAATGAAATTTCAATCCAAATTTCAGCAAGTTAATTTGTGTATATCAACAAATTGATTCTAAAGTTTATATGGAAAGACAAAAGACACAAAATGGCCAACTTAATATTTAAGGGAAATAACAAAGTTGGAGGAGTGACATTAGTTGACTTCAAGACTTACTATAAAGCTTCAGTAATCAAGACTGTGTGGTACTGGCAAAAGAATAGACAAAGAGATCAGTGGAACAGAACAGAAAGCCCAGAAATAGACCCACATAAATATACTCAACTGAACCTTGCAAAGGAGCAAAAGCAATACATTAGAGAAAATACAGTCTTTTCAACAATAGTACTGGAATAACTGGACATCCCCCTGCCAAAAAAAAAAAAAAAAATCTGAAGAAGTACCTTACACCCTTCACAAGAATTAACTCAAAATGAATTGCAGACCTAAATGTAAAATGCAAAAGCAAAACTCCTAAATGACAACACAGAATATCTAGGTAAGCTTAGGTATGGCAATGACTTTTTATTTTTTATTTTTGAGACGGAGTCTTGCTCTGTCGCCCAGGCTGGAGTGCCGTGGCACAATCTCGGCTCACTGCAACCTGTGCCTCCCAAGTTCAAGCAATTCTCCTGCCTCAGCCTCCTGAGTAGCTGGGATTATAGGAGTGTGCCACCGTGCCTGGCTAATTTTTTTGTATTTTCAGTAGAGACGGAGTTTCACCGTATTGGCCATGCTGATCTCGAACTCCTGACCTTGTTATCTGCCCGTCTGAGCCCCCAAAGTGCTGGGATTACAGGCATGAGCCACCGCGTCCGGCTGGCAATGATTTTTTAGAAACAACACCAAAGGCATAATCTATGAAAGAAATAATTGATAAGCTGCACTTCTTTTAAATCAAAAACTTGTGTTTTGTGATAAGTAGTGTTAACGGAATGAGAAGAGAAGCTATAGACTAGGACAAATATTTAAAACAGATAAAACTAATAAAGGACTGTTATTTAAAGTATACGAAAAGCTCTTAAAACCTAAATAATAAGAAAACTATAACTTGATTTTAAAATGCTCAAAAGACCTGATCATACGTTTCACCAAAGAAGATATACAGAAAACAAGTAAGCATATGAGAAGTTGTTTAATATCATGTTATGAGAGAATTGCTATTTAAAACAATAATGAGATACCACTATATACCTGTTACAATAGCTAAAATTCAAAACACTGACAACAAATGCTGACAAGGATGTAGAGCAATAAGGTGTCTCATTCATTGCTAGTGGGAATGCAAAATGGTACAGCCACTCTGGGGGACAGACTGACAGTTCTTTAATGAAAATAAACACACTCTCATGATCTGACCCAGCTGAAAACTTTTGTCCACACAAAAACTTACACATAGATGTTTATAGCAGTTTTATTTATAACTACTCCAGTTTGGAAGCCACCAGGATGTCCTACACTGGGTGAATGTAAAAAGTGTGGTAGATCCAGACATTGGAATATTATTCAGTGCTAAAAAGAAATGAGCTGTCAAGCCATGGAAGACATGGAAGAATGCATATCAGTAAATGAAGGAAGCTAATGTGAAAAGCCTACATACTTTATAATTCCTATTATCTGACTTTCTTGCAAATGCAAAACTATGGAGACAGTAAAAAGATCATTGTTTGCCGGGGATTTGGTGGGAGGGAGGGATGACTAAGTGGAGCACAGAGGATTTTTTTAGGGCAATGAAACCATTCTGTATGATACTATAATGGTGGATACATGTCATCCATCATACATTTGTCAAAACCCGTAGAATGTGCAATACCAAGAGTGAATGCTTATGTCAGCTGTGGGCTTTGAACAATAATGATGTGTCTTTAAAGGTTTTTTTTTTTTTCTGTAATATGTGAACCACTATCATGTAAGATGTTGATGGGTTGATGGGGGGAGACTGTGCATGTGTGCAGACAGGATCTATAGAGAAGCTCTCCAAATTTCCCACTTAATTTTGTTCTGAACATAAAAAAACTCTACAAAAGGAAAGTTTATTAATTTCCAAAACAGGTAGGAGAAGGGTAATGTTACTGTAGGAAGCTTTGCTTATTTATAAGTTTGTTTTTATTTTTTACATTAATAAAGGAAGTGATAATGTCAGCACATAGTACTGAGAATCTTTTTTTTTTTTTTTTTTTTTTTTTTTTTGAGACTGTGTCTCACTCTGTCACCAGGCTAGAATGCAGTAGCACAATCTTGGCTCACTGCAACCTCCACCTCCCAGGTTCAAGCAATTCTCCTGCCTCACCTTCCTGAGTAGCTGGGACTACAGGTGCGTGCCACCACGTGGGGCTAATTTTTGTATTTTTAGTAGAGACGGGGTTTCACCATGTTGGCCAGGATGGTCTCCATCTCTTGACCTCGTGATCCACCCGCCTTGGCTTTCCACAGTGCTGGGATTACAGAAGTGAGCCACTGCGCCTGGCCTGAAAATCATTCTGATGAGAAGCATAATCTCTTAAAATCCCTTAATAAGAGAATGCTAAATAATTCCAGGTAAATTGTTATTTTGATATGTAATCTATTCTATGTTTACATTAAGTTAATATTTTACAGTAAAGATCCATGCATTCTTCTTTCTAATTTATATTATAAGGCTTTCAAAGTTGAGTGAATTGTGTCAAATTTTTAACCCATTTACAGCTTCCGTTTTGTCCCATATGTTATAAATCAAGGCAAATAAAAATTCTTATTTAAACCTTCCTCTCCTCACTATGTACGCTCAAGTTTTTGTCCTCATTTTGTTTCTTTTTAATTCTGGAGCAACCTTTCACTTTATCTGAGAACTAAAATTCTGTCCCTTTTCTTGAAAAATAAACATTTATCCTATTACATCACCTACATAGTTACACTTTTTCTTAAAACTGTCCCTGCTAAAATAGACTCAGTTACCCATATTACCATTGTTAATTAACTTGTATTTAACCTTCTCTGGTGGATAGGAACTTGATAATAATGCCTATCATGCACAAGCAATTTAGGTGACTAGGAAATATCATTCTCTACAGCCACACCCTTTTTTTTTTTTTTTTTTTTCTTTGAGGCAGAGACAGTCTCACTCTGTCCTCCAGGCTGGAGTGCAGTGGCACTATCTCAGCTCACTGCAACCTTCACCTCCTGGGTTCAAACCGATTCTCCTGCCTCAGCCTCCCAAGTAGCTGAGACTACAGGCACCTGCCACCATATCCGGCTAATTTTTTTATTTTTAATAGAGGTAGAGTTTCACCATATTGGCCAGGCTGGTCTCGAACTCCTGACCTCAAATGATTCACTCACCTCAGCCTCCCAAAATGCTGGGATTACACGCATGAGCCACTGCGCGCCCAGCCTCACATACATTATATTTATGTCTTCAAGTGACAAGAATGAGCACATTCATTAACATGATATAAAATCATGGTAACATCGTAACATTTTAAGGTAAGAAGTAGAGTTGTATATTGTAAGCGCTATGCTTGCTATTCAAGATCTTGAAGTTAAGTACACAAGAATCTTAGAAATCACATTTCAGAGGACACTAAAAAATGTAATTATTGATATAAAACATTGTTAGAATCATGATTCAGTTCAGTCAAACAGTTTTACTTTTTTATCATTTTAAGCTTTAGGTATGGATATCATTAGCTTATCTGATCAATACACTATTATCAGAATTTTAAGAAGTTCAGGTTAACTAGTATTTTCTGAAAACAGAAACTCAACATCCCTACAAAATTATGGAGAAAACACAGCTATGTATTTCAGACAAAATTTTTAAATCAGTCTGATTTGTCCAAAGAATCAGTTTTTAGCTTTAAATTTTTAAACAGTTTTTAATTGATACCTTATATTGGTACATATTTATGTGGTACATGTGATATTTTCTTACATGCATCGAATGAGGAGAATTGTTGTTAGTTCTTGCTTGAAAGTTTGGTAGAATTTGGCATTGAAGCCATCCAGTCCTGGACATTTCTTTGTTGGGAGACTTTATTACTGAGTCAATCTCATTACTTATTATTGATCTGTTCCAGTTTTTTATTTCTTCCTGATTCACTCTCAGTAGGCTATATATGTGTATCTAGAAATTTATCCATTTCCTCCAACTTTCCAGTTCATTAAGATTTAGTTGCTTATAATAGTCTTTGATGAACTTTTGTATTTCTGTAGTATTAGTTGTAATGTCTGTTTTCTGTTTCTGTTTCTGATTTTGTTTATTTTGATCTTATCCTTTTCTTGGTTGCTTTTTTAGTGTCCATTTTGTTTAATTCTAGTTTTTATTATATGTTTCCTTCTACTCATTTTTAGTTGTGGTTTTTTTCTTTGTATTTTTTTTTATGTAGAGTTTATGGGTATCAACTTTCCTCTTAGCACTGCATTTGCTATCTACCATAGGTTTTGGTAAGTTGTGTTTCCATTTTCATTTGTTTCAATAAATTTTTATATTTGCTGCTTAATTTCATCATTGATCCAGTGTTTGTTCAGGAGCATAGTTTTAAATTTTCTTGTATTTGTACATTTTTTAAAAAGTTTCTCTTGTTACTGGTTTTTAGTTATATTCCATTGTGGTCTGAGAAGATAGTTGATGTGATTTCATTTTTTAAAAATTTGTTGAGGCTTGTCTTGTGGCTTAACACATAGTCTACAAAGATTCACTTTTATTGCATGAATTTAGATTCGTAAATTAAAATCTTTCTAAGCTGCTAGCAGATCCTTTAAGAAGAATTTTTTCCCTAAATTACTAGTACATTTGAAGTTTTCTTTAGATATTACTATAGATTCATGAACTTCTTATACTATGTAAACCAATTATATCTTAGCTCCTTAAAATTCAGAGACTTCTAAATTTTATTTATTAATACTCTTCTTAGGAAAATACTTCATACAGAATGAGAGAGAATGACTTCTGAGTTATAGCAACACAGAGAAAATTGTAGCTTTAATTATAACAATCTCTGCAACAGATTAAGTAATCAAGGAAACACCAAAATACACTGTTCAAGATTTCAAAGGATTATTTTCCCTTCTAGTAGTTATAAAATGTTTTATGAAATTATTTGGATACACAAATAGAGAAACAAAGAATTTAAAAAATGCAACTCTCATTCCTTGTCATGTCTCATATGAAGGACAAGAAATCCCTTTAATCTTAACAGAGGTCTTTAAAGTTCAGATTATAAAATTACATTCCCAATTATTAATGCATGCATGGGGATTATCATTATCATCATTATCATCTTCTAGTGGAAACTATATCCAGAACCAAAATGGTGAAGAACTAGAAAAGAAAATGAAAAATTCAAAATTTAAAGAAAAAAGCCAACTTGTAGTAGACTAGCATCACAGCAAAGGTACAGTTCTATTGCCTTTTTTTTCTTTTTTTCTTTTTTTTTTTTTTTTTTTGAGACAGAGTCTTGCTCTTTCCCCCATGTAGGAGTATAGTGGCAGGATCATGGCTTACTTCAGTCTTGACCTCCCAGTTTCAAGAAATCCCTCCACTTCAGCCTCCCAAGTAGCTGGACAAAAAACACAGCACATGCCGGCACACCTGGCTAATTTCTGTATTTTTTGTAGAGATGAGGTCTCGCTATGTTGCCTATGCTGATCTTGAACTCCTGGGCTCAAACAATTCTCCCACCTTGGCCTCCCAAAGTGCTCGATTGTAGGCATGAGCCACTGCACCAGGACTCTATTGCTATTTGAGAATCACTTTGAGGAGAAAGAAAAGTCTCTCCTCCTAAACAGCTCCTGAAGTACATTTCTGTGCTATCACAGTTTGGTTGGCTTTATGAACCCACTTTAGTGTCTCAGTGGATCCTCCAAAAGTATAACATGTTAAAATTCAAAGAATTTAAATGGTGACTTTTGTAAATATAAAAAGAAAATATATCAAATATTTTATTCCACTTCCTAATTAAGTAGAGGACTAGTGAGATTATAAATACAGTTCAAAGTGCATTTTAGGAACTAGTTTCTTAAAGACAAGTTAATGAATTTTATCTTAGAATAATATAGCTAAGTTACATACAATCTATTTAATATTTTACATGACAATAAAGCATTATTTTGGGGATTATCTTTTTTAATAGTTGAAAATATTAGAATTTTCCAGGTTAAAAATCTACAAATTAATAAAGAACTTCACTATGCCTAGTGTCACAAGATTCTTGGGATATTGTTTTTCTGGCTGGTGATGTCTTTGCCCAAGTCTTGCTTAGGCCCGCTGGGTTTGTTCTGCCTACCTGGCCTGGCAGGCTTTACTTGGCTGACACTACTGGCCTGGATCCCATACCTGCCAAGGGTAAGTCAGGCATGGAGTGGCAAGGGGTGTGTGAGGGAGCATGGGGTTCAGCCAGTGTGCAATCGGACATGCCGGCTGCTGCAATGGGGCGGGCAGTTACAGGTGCTGGCACAGGCACTGACTCTCTGTGAGGCTGTGGCCAGACCAGGTGCACTGCAGGAAGCTTCCCCAGCTGGCACCGGGAAATGCAGTGGCACCTGGAAGCTTGGAGATACTAGGCACCACAGGACCCCAAAGAGGGAGTCACAGCCCTGGCTCAGGGAGCTCCCAGGTCTGGGCTGCCTGAGAAGGCACAGATCTTATCTCCTTCTCTTTGCCCTCAATGTGGCAAGCAGGGGGCATGTTTCAGTCCTGTGTTATAGCTCTTTTAGCTCTGCCATTTGGTAGGTCCCGAGTTCTTGTCCTGCAACTAGGAAGCATGAGGTACAGAGCCAAGTGGAGGATGAGCGAGATGAAGGGGAGCTTTATTGATCAATAGAACAGCACACAGGAGACCTGCAGAGGGTAGCTCCTTTCCACAGCCAGGATGTTCCAATGAGAGTTCAGCTCCTAGCAGAAAGGAGACCCTGGAGAGGGAAGCTCCTCCTAGCAGGCAGGTCATCTCATTGTCTTCTTAGCTCTCAGCAGAGAGGTGGCCCTGGAGTGGATTGTTCCACTCTGCAGCTGGTAGTCTCGATGTCTCTGCAGGTTTCTGAAGCTCTCAGCAGAGAAGAGGCCCTAGAATGGATAGCTTCTCTCTTCTGCTGGTTGTTGGGACATCTTCTGCTGTCAGCAGAAAGGGTAGCTCTTCTCTGCAGCTGGTCATCCATCATCTGCTCTGCTCTGGCTGAGCCTGGGGCTTTTATAGGCCTATTAGAGGGGAAGTGCATGCTGATCAGTCCATGGGCAGCCATGGGCAGATCCAGGAAAAACCACCACGAGTTTGCCCTCCAAATCAGCACTGCCAGTCCTGTCCCCAGGCTTCAGGCCTTCTCTCAGGGATCTGCCCTCTTCTGCCCAAGTATCTGTCTGCCTCCCCCTGCTGTTCATGGCACATGGGCTTGACCCCGATTTGCTCCAAGATGGGAGCAGGTGCCCACAGCAGGGAGAAGCCAAGCAGCGGGAGCAGGCACTTCTGAGCCTGCAGGGGCAGGGGGGCCTTCTCAGCTCCCCCTCTCCCCCCCCAGAGTGCAGGGATACCTGGGTCTGCAGCCGCAATATGGGCTGCTCCCTTGACCCTAGGGAAGTGGAGCTCCTGGTCCCCCAAAAGTAAAGGGAAGCTCCATTCTGCAGCCACAGCTCGGGCACCTGCAGCCCTTCCCAGGAGGGTTAGGCTCCTGCCTCCTCCAAGGAGGCAGAGGCCCAGGTCTGCAGCTGCAATTTGGGCAGCTGCAGCTGCACCCGGGGAGTTCCCACCCCACCTCAGAAGGAGAAGGGCTTACGCTTGTCCCCTGCTGCCTGGAGCTCCATGGAGCATGTATCCTCGGCAGCACCTCCCTGCTGCAGTCGGCGTGATGGCAGCGGCAGGCCGTCTGGAGTGGCTGCTGCTATAACTAGGATCTTTAATCAGTAGTAAACAGTGAATCAAATAAGTAAATTTCCCTTAATTATCCTTATGTGGATCTGTTAATGCATTCATATGACATTGAAAGAATATGTTGCCCTACTTTTGACCTTATTTCCAAGCTTTGAATAACTTTTCTTAACATTTGGGATCAAAATGTGATTTATGCCACTCTTACCCAGGGGTGCTTATGGTAACACTCAAATTTTCTTTGAAGGGAAAAGTCAATACGATAAAGTTGTCAGTTCTCCCCAAGGGAATCTTTAAAATCAATATGATTTCATTAAAACTCCAACAAATATTTTCATATTACTTGGTAAATAAACCCAAAACTAATTAGGAAGAGCAAAGGATCAAGAATGACTCAGACAAATTTGAAGAAAATGAACCATTTTAGGAGAATTGCCCTATGAAATGCAAAAACTAGTTATAAAGCTTTATTAGCTAAGACAATGTAGCATTGATGCAAGGATAAACAAAGAGATAAATAGAACCTATAGGGAACCTACAAACATGATGATGCACATTTGAAAACTTGACATATATTGCACTACTTAACTCTGGGGGGGAAATGGACTCTATTAAATGTTGTTTGGCCAGTTGTTTATACATTTGAAAAAAAATAAAATTAGATTGCCAACACATATTATAATTTTAGAAAATTTCCAGGTGGATAACTGCCTAAATACAGAAAATCAGAATGTTAATGCATTTTGAAGAAAACATAGGCCCAAGGCAGTGGCTCACAGCTGTGATCCTAGCACTTTGGGATGCCAAGGCAGGAGGATCACTTGAGACGAGGAGTTTGAGAGCAGCCTAGGCAACATAGTGAGACCCCATCCCCCACCTCCCCAAAAAAGGAAGAAAATATAGAATCTTTTTATAAACTTTGGGCAGAAAAGTACTTCTTAAACAAAACACAAAAAAATACCTACTTACAAATGTGGATATACTTTAGAAAATTATTTTCCTCTAAACCACCATGTTTCAAAGATATATAAAAAGACAAGCTACAGATAGGGTGAAAGTATTTGCAATATGTTTAAGGAAATATTAATATCCAAGATATATAAAGATATCTCATTTAAGTTAATAAGAAAAGTCACTCAACCCAACAACAACAGTGTAACAAATGGGTAAAAGAAATGATTTGACAATTTGTGGAAGTAGACAGGTGACTTACAAACATATGAAAAAATGTTTACCCGCACTAGTAATCAGTGAAATGCAATTGAAATCACATTGTAATATCTTTTTACAGCTGTATGATTGGCAGTACTTAAAGGATCTGAGCATACCAAGTATTCCTGAGGGCATGGAGATTTGTTAATGTCTAATAAAATTGAAAATGCTTATAATCTTTTCTTTGACTCAGGAATTTTATTTCTGGGTATATATCCTGGAGAAAACTCATTCATGTGCATAAGGAGGCATGTATGAAGTTGACTATTACAGCAATATTTTATTATACCTAAATTGGAAAACAACACAATTGTCCAGCTGCAAAATAATGAATAAATACATTTTGGCATATTGATAAAAGATGATACTATATAGTTGTTAAAATAAATTAGGTAGAATTACAGTTATAATAGTCATGGTTAAATCTCAAATGTAATGCTGAATGAAGCAAACTAAGTTGCAAAAAGAGAGGTATACATCATAATTTTTGAAAATAAACGATTGTATGTAAATTATGCCTATTCATGCATATATATAGATCCTGTTTCAAAAAATCCGTAGAAAGGTCAAACACTTTATTCTTTTATTATTATTATTAGTATTATACTTCAAGTTCTGGGGTACATGTGCAGAACGTACAGGTTTGTTACATAGGTATACATGTGCCACGGTTGTTTGCTATACCTGTCAACCCATCATTTAATTAGTGTGGTGATTACCTCTGTATAAGCAATGAAGAGAATAAAACTAGAGACAAATAATAAATGGGCTTCAACTTTTCTGTAATGTGCTTCTTTAGAAAAAATATGACTCGGGCCGACCGTGGTGGCTCACACCTGTAATCCCAGCATTTTGGGAGGCCGAGGCGGGAAGATCACAAGGTCAGGAGTTCAAGACCAGCCTGACCAACATGATGAAACCCCATCTCTACTAAAAATACAAAAAAACATTAGCCGGGCTTGGTGGTGCATGCCTGTAATCCCAGCTATTCAGGAGGCTGAGGCAGGAGAATCTCTTGAACCCGGGAGGCGGAGGTTGTAGTGAGCCAAGATCACACCACTGCACTCCAGCCTGGGTGACAGAGGGAGACATTGTCTCAAAAAAAAAAAAAAAAAGAAAGAAAGAAAGAAAAAATGTGACTCAAATATAGCACAATGCTAGGATTTTATAAAGGTGAGTATTGGGTACATGAAAGTTTATTATCTGTTTGACTACATTTCTCATGTTTGAAGTATTTCATTATGAAGAATAAAAATGATATATATAAAATATATATAGAAATGTAAAAGTATTATACAATAAACAGTATCAATACATACAATGCTCATAAACATAAGTATGAACACACACAAAAACACTTGTATGTATATGTAAGTATACAGATGCACATGAATGAGCATTACATATTTGAAGTATACACCTTGAATGGGAAGGATTCCCTGTAATTCCTGGTTAAGTTTTTCCTTAGGGAAGATAGGTGTGTTGTGAGACTAGGTATTAGGCCCAAAGCATATTTCATCTGGATCTCTTATGTTTTATGTACAGTTATTAAGGACAAAAATGATATAAATATGTAAATATATCATTTGCAGTTATCAATTTTTGTGATAGGAATATGTATGTTTGGTAAACTGAATGTCTCCATTTAGTATTACTTGTTTCTATCCTTTAAAACAGTCTTTATTTTTATTTTTTTTTTCAACTTGTATTTTTGATTCAGGGGGTACATGTGCAGATTTGTTACCTGGGTATATTGTGTGAGGCTGAGGTTTGGGATATGAATGATCCTGTCGCCTAGGTACCAGGCATAGTACCCAATATTTAGTTTTTCAGCCCTTGCTTCCCTCTCTTCCTTTCCCCTCTAGTAGTCCCCAGTTTCTATTGTTGCCGCCTTTATGTCCATGAGTTCCCAATGTTTAACTTACACTTATAAGTGAGAATGTGCGGTATTTGATTTTCTGTTCCTGTGTTAGTTTGCTTAGGATAATGGCCTCCAGATGCATCCGTGTTGCTGTAAAGGGCATGATTTCATTCTTTTTTATGGCTACATAGTATTCCACAGTGTATATCTACCACAGTTTCTTTATCTCATCCACCATTTGTGGACATTTAGGTTGATTCCATGTCTTTGCTGTTGTGAACAGTGCTGCAGTGAACATGCATGTATCATTTTGGTAGAAAGGTTTGTTTTCTTTTGAATATATACCCAGTAATGGGATTACTGGATCACATGGTAGTTCTGTTTTAAGTTCTTTGAGAAATCTTTAAACTGCTTTCCACAGTGGCTGAACTAATTTATATTCCTCCCAATAGTGGATAAGCATTCCCTCTTCTCCACATTCTTCCCAGCATCTGTTTGTTTTTTTTTTAACTTTTTAGTAATAGCCATTCTGACTGGTGTGAGATGGTAACTCACTGCGGTTTTGATTTGCATTTCTCTGATGATTAGTGAAGTGGAGCATTGTTTTATGTTTGTTGGTCATTTGTATGTCTTCTTTTGGGAAATGTCTGTTTGTGTCTTTTGCCCAGTTTTTAATGGAAATAGTCTTTTTAAAACATTAAGTGTTTGACTAAGATCTGGGGCTTCTATAGTCATCCCTGGGAATCCACAGGTGATTCTTTGTAAGACCTCAGTGGATACCAAAATCTGCCGATGCTCAAGTCTCTTACAGTATAGTATAGAGATAGTATTTGCATATAACCTGTGCACATCTTTCAAATAGTTTAAATCGTCTCTGGATTACTTCTAATATGTAATACAATGCAAATGCTGTGTAGTTAAGTTTTTTACTTTGTACTTTTTATTGTATTACTTTTTTTATTTTTTCAAAATATTTTATATCCACAATTGGTTGAATCCACAAATGTGGAACCCACTGATAACAGGAAGCAGAACTGACTGTATGTAAAAGATAGATTTTGGATCAAAAAGAGTATCTTAAAAATCACATATTTTGTCAACTGATTTGTTGGAAATGATTATTACATAAATTAATTTTTTATGTAATTTATGTGGGTAATTTTTTCCTCTTTCTAAAGAATACAAGTCAATGACCAGATTGTGGAAGTGGATGGAATCAGCTTGGTGGGTGTGACACAGAATTTTGCAGCAACAGTTCTCAGAAACACCAAGGGCAACGTCAGGTAAATACGTGCCTTCTAATATACACCATGTTGTTACTTTAGTTGAATTTTAATTTTCTATAGTTTAACCTGCAAATAAATGTAATTACAATGACAATTTTACCTGAATAGTAAAACTTTGCTTTTAGTTTTAAATATTTTCACCTTTATTATAATTAGTTCATGAAAATAGAATTTAAAATTACAAATCATAGTATTTTAGAAAGATACAAAAACAAGCACTTGTCTTCATATCTTTCTAAAATACTATGGTTTCCAGGAAGATATAATTTCTAGTTAAAACCTCAATAAATATGAATTAGGTCCCAAATCTTTTTAAGGAAAACAGTTATACAATACTTGAAATGATTATACATATATTCAATTTTCTGTGTTTTTTAGACAATCAGGTTGAATAAAGATAAGTATATTTTTTAAATGTATACATTCTTTTAAGGAATCAGCCATGACCAATGTTTGATGAATTATAACTTTTCCAACTTAATGCACTTAGGGTGCATTTTTTTTGGACCTTGAAATTTATATTCAAACTTGGGATTGTGAATATTGTATATTGGAAAACAAGTAAGAAGCAGTTTAGAGCTAGTTGAAGTCAAGGTTTGAAATCAGGTCTTTTTTTTGCTTATAGGTTACTTATTTATCTTCAGTATTGCTTATATCATATACTTTTCCATACATCTTGTGTAAGAAACATTAAGGAAACATTATTTAGTATGTGTAATGATGAAAATGGTTGGGTGTTCTCATTATCAAAATGAAACTGCTAAATATTCTGAAAATATTAATGAGTTAACATTGCTATACAGGCAGTAACATTAGGATATTATTGCAGTATGTCTAATTTTGCTGAAGCATGATTTAAGTTTTAGACTTTAGGCTTTTTCAACTGTAAATCATCTTCTAATGCTAAAGGGATGCCTTAAGGAATATTACCTAAACTACTTCTGTGGGCGCTATGTTGATGTTTCTAGAATATCCACAGTCCTGAGAAAAGAATGTAAAATAATTGCAAAACTGTGTGGTGCTCTCTGAGTTGTGTGGGTGGGCCCATTCAGTAAATGTGATTGTCTTTTTGAAGATCACTATGTGTTCTTAAGACAGCACTTTCCCATGTCTGTATAGAACTTGGTTTTGAAGCTGTCCATTAGACTTTAAAGTAAATTTTAAAATGAAATAGGTAAGATATACATTCAACTCATAAGAACATTTCTCAGTTGGAAAAGAATTTGTAGTTACATGAAACCATAGCCATCCCTTTTTTCCCCTCTGTTGACTGCGTAATCTTGTGTTATTATTTTCAGCCTTGTACAAATTTCAAAAGTCTTCAAATGTCTTCTTAACTGGTCTGTCTGTTTTCACATTCTCACTTCCTCAGTCTGCTCTGTTCATCATTACTCTCATGGAAGGACATAATTACAGTTTTTAAGTAAATGAAGGGCTATCATGGAAAAAGAAATTGACCTTATTCTGCTTAACTCTAGTACAGGTTGAGTATCCCTTATGTTAAATGCTTGCAACCAGAAGTGTTTCCGATTTCAGATTGTTTTGGCATATTAAAATATTTGCATTATATACTTAGTAGTTGAGCCTCCCTAATGTGAAAATTCGAAATCTGAAATGCTCTAATGAATATTTCCTTTGGGTGTCATGTCAGTGCTCAAAAAGTTCTGAGTGTTCTGAACATTTTGGATTTCAGATATTTTGATGTGGGATGCTCAACCTGTATAAACTTCCATGTGCAGGGGTTTTTTTTGTTTTGTTTTGTTTTTTGTAGTTGTTATTTTTTGAGACAGAGTCTTGCTCTGTCACCCAGGCTGGAGTGCAGTGGCGCAGTCTCAACTCATTGCAATCTCTGCCTCCTGGGTTCAAGCAGTTCTCCTGCCTCAGCCTCGCAAGTAGCTGGATTACAGGCATCCACCACCACATCCAGCTAATTTTGTATTTTTAGTAGAGACAGGGTTTTGCCCTGTTGGCCAGGCTGGTCTTGAACTCCTGACCTCAGGTAATCCACCCACCTTAGCCTCCCAAAGTGCTAGGATCACAGGTGTGAGCCACTGCGCCTGGCCCCATGTGCAGGTTTTTGTGTGGACATAAGTTTTCTACTGGGTAAATACCAAGCATGGAGCATAATTGCTATATCATGTGGTAAGTGTATGTTTAGTTTTGCAAGAAACCACCAACCCATCTTCAAACTGGCTATACCATTTTGTATTCCTATCAGCAATGAGTGAGAGTTCCTATTGCTCCACATCCTTGCCAGCATTTGTTGTCAGTGTTTTGGATTTTGACCATTCAAATAGGTGTATAGTGGAATCTGATTGCTTTAATTTCCATTTACCTCCATTGTCCATTAATATTTACAACTGGTAATGAAAAGTTTCATGTTAATATGATTTGTAATCCTTTATAGTATTTTCTTTTTTTACCTCTTTTGGATTTTTTTCTCTTATAATTGGGCTTTTGTAATTTTTATCAGACTGTAACTAGATCTGTGTTTGTTTATTTGGTTTTGTGAAATTCTGCTTGGGATTCAATCTGAAGACTTGGATTTCAGAAAGTTTCTATTATGCTTTGGTTATTTGCTTTATTTCTTCTGCATTGTCTTTGGCCTCTCTTCTCAAACCAGTATTAAATGGGGCTTAGATTTCCTGGGCATATCCTCTAGAATCTTATTTTCTCTCAGGATCTCCATCTGTTTGAATTTTTGCTAGTATAAGAGTTTCTTTAATTTTCTCTTCCAGATTACCATGGTTTTTTTTCTTTTCTTTTCTTTTTTTTTTTTTTTTTTTTCAGGCATGGCCTATTTTAACTGTTCCATGCTTTATTCTCTATTTTCTGTTTTTATTTCTAGCTCCATTCTCTCTTCCTAGAGCTTAAGAATAGTATATCCAGCTTCCTACTTGACATCTTCATATGGCATTCTAAAAGGAACATCAAATTTAATATACTCCAAGTATTATCCTTTATTTGTGCCATTCCCTGTCTTCTGCCCCACTTTCCTGCTTTGCCCCCTTCCCCCAAAAAACTCCATGTCACATGACATACAATTGGCTGCTTCTACCTTATCAAGTCTCAGTTCAAATATCAATTCTTCAATGAATGAGCTTTTCTCATATTTATGTTGTCCAAACTCAAATTCACTCTATCTCAATTACCATGTTTTCTACATAGCATTCATTTACTGATCCTCTTCTGATCCTCTCCACCTGGTTATTGACTTTCTTTTGGGTTTTCTACTGTATTGATTCCTGTCTAGTCTGTATGATAATTTGAATATGAAAGTAATGATCTGTGACTTTTTAGGCTAGGTTATAAAAGGCACTGTGGCTTTCATCCTGCTCTTTTGGATCACCAGTTTTAGGGAAATGTAGCTGCCATATCAGGAGGCTTTCAAATACCCTTTTGAAGATGCCCACACAGGGAAGACGTTGGGCCTACCAGCAGCCAGCACTAACTTAACCAGACATGTGGGGAGGCACCTTTGAAGATCTTCCAGCCTTACTAAAGCATTCAGATACCTGCAGCTTCAGCTAACAACTGGTTGAATTTTGTGAGAATCACCAAGCCACAATTGAACAGACAAGCCTTCCTTGAATTCTTGACTCACAGAAACTATGGAAGATAGTAACTGTTTATAAGTTTTGGGGTAATTTGTATCAGCAGCTACAACTTACACATATTTTGGTACCTGAATGTGGGCTCCAGTTTAACAAAAACTGAAAATGTGGGAGTAGCTTTGGGACTGGACTGTTAGTGAGGCTGGAAGGACTATGAGGAGAGTATTAGTAAAAGCCAAAGAGATCTTACAGTGATTGCTGGGAGAAAACTGATGGTCTGTGAGGAGGAAGCTGGTGAGGGCTTAAAGAAGAAAACTATAAATGTTATTGAAAATTGGGTCAGGCGCAGTGGCTCATGCCTGGAATCCCATCATTTTGGGAAGCTGAGGCAGGTGGATCATCTGAGGTCAGGAATTCGAGACCAGCCTGGCCAACATAGTAAAACCCCGTCTCTACTAAAAATATACAAAATTAGCCAGGTGTGGTGGCACATGCCTGTAATCCCAGCTACTTGGGAGGCTGAGGCAGGAGAATCACTTGAACCTGGGAGGCAGAGGTTGCAGTGAGCCGAGATGCACCATTGCACTCCAGCCTGGGCAACAAGAGTGAAACTCCATTTCAAAAAAAAAAAAAAAAAAGAAAGAAAATTAGAAGAAAGAGTATCTTCATTATGTAATAACAGAACATTTAACAAAACTTACCTCTAGTAATATGGAAAGTAGAATATTGACTGGGACATTTAACTCATAAGATTTCTAGCCATTGTTGAAAGTGTCACTAGCTGCTTTTTGCTGTGTATAAGTAAAATTTATGAGAAGATAGATAAGCTAAAGGAAGAACTGTTAAAAATAAAGCAAGTTAAACAAACTAGAAAACTTAGACAAACTGGATAAATTTCTGGATACATATATGTAGCCTACCAAGATTGAATCAGGAAGAAATAGAAAACTGGAACAGACCAATAATGAGTAACAAGATTGAATCAGTAATAAAAATTCTCCCAACAAAGAAAAGTCCAGGACTGGATGGCTTAAATGCCAAATTCTAGCAAACTTTCAAACAAGAACTAACACCAGTTCTCCTCAAACTATTCCAAAAAATTGAAGCAGAGGAACTTCTCCCTGATTCTTTCTATGAGGCAAGCATTACCCTGATACCAAAAGGAGATAAGGACAGAACCAAAAGGAAAACTGCAGGCCAATATTCCCAATGAACACAGAGGCAAAATTTCTCAGCGAAATACTAGCAAACCAAGTCCAACAGTACATTAAAAAGATAATACACCATGATTAAGTGGGATTTATCCCAGGGATACAAGAATGGCTCAACATATGCAAATCAATAAAATATGCTACATCACATCAACAGAATGAAGGACAAAAACCATATGATCATCTCAGTAGATGCAGAAAAAACATTTGATAAAATTCAGTATCCCTTCATGATGAAAACCCTCAACAAAACACGCATAGAAGGAAAAAACCTGTATTAGTCCATTTTCATGCTGCTGCTGAAGACATACCTGAGACTGGGCATTTTACAAAAGAAAGAGATTTAGTCAACTTACAGTTCCATGTGGCTGGGGGAGGCCTCACAATCATGGTGGAAGGCAAGGAGGAGCAAGTCACATCTTACATCTTACATGGATGACAGCAGGCAAAGAGAGAGTGCTTATGTAGGGAAACTCCCATTTTTAAAACCGTCTTATCTCGTGAGACCCATTCACTATCACAAGAACAGCACAGGAAAGACCTGTCCCCATAATTCAATCACTTCCCACCAGGTTCCTCCCATGACATGTGGGAATTGTGGGCGTAACAATTGAAGATGAGATTTGGGTGGGGACACAGCCAAACCATATCAATACCTCAACATAATAAAGGCCACATATGACAAACTCACAGCTAACATTGTATTGAGTGGGGAAAAGCTGAAAGCCTTTTCTCTAAGAGCTGGAACAAGACAAGAATGCCCACTTTCACCATTCCTATTCAACATAGTACTGGAAGTCCTAGCCAGAGTAATCAGGCAAGAGAAAGAAATAAAAGGCATCTGAATAAGAAAAGAGAATGTCAAACGGTCCCTCTTTTCAGATGATGTGATCTTATAGCTAGAAAAATTTGAAGACTCCACGAGAAAACTCTTAGATCTGATAAAACAAATTCAGTAAAGTTAGTCACAGGTTACAAAATCAGCATACAGAAAATAAGTGCTGTTTCTATACAAAAATAATGAACTAGCTGAGAAAGAACACAAGAAGACAACCAAATTTACAATAGTTAAAAAAAAAATACCTAGGAATAAGTTTAACCAAGGAGATGAAAGACCTTCACAAGGAAAACTACAAACACTGATGAAAAAAATTGAAGAGGACACAAACAAAACAAAGAGCCCATGCTCATGGATTAGGAGAATTAACGTTGTTAAAATGACCACACTCCCCAGAGCAGTCTACTGATTCAGTACAATCCCTGTCTAAATATCAATGTCATTTTTCACAGAAATAGAAAAAAGATCCTAAAATGTGTAAGAAACCAAGTACGGCTCAAATACCAAAGTGATTCTGTGCAAAAAGAACAAAGTTGGAGGCATCACATTACCTGACTTCAAAATGTATCACAAGGCTTTAGTAACCAGAACAGCAAGATATTGGTATAAAAACAGAAACACAGACCAATAAAACAGAATGGAGGACCCAGAAACAAATTCACACCTTTATGGCCAACTGATTTTTGACAAAGACACCAAGAACATACATTGGGGAAAGGGCACCCTCTTCAATAAATCATGCTGGGAAAATTGCTTATCTATTTGCAGGAGAATGAAACTGGACCCTTATCCCTCACTATATATAAAAATCAACTCAATATGGATTAAAGACTGAAATGTAAGCCCCACATCTGCAAAACAACTAGAAGGAAGCATAGAGGAAACACTTCAGGACATTGGTCTAGGCAAATACTTTATGGCTAAGACCTCAGAAGCACAGGCAATGAAAAAAAAAAAGGATAAGTGGGACTATATTAATCTAAAAGACTTCTGCACAGCAAAGGAAACAACAGAGTGAAGAGACAGCCTGTTGAATGGGAGAAAATATTTATAAACTATTTGTTCAACAAGATTCTAATATCTAGAATATTAAAGGAACTCAAAGCAACAGTAAAAAAGCAAAAATAGTCTCATTAAAAAGTCGGCAAAGGATATGAATAGACATTTCTCAAAATAAGACATAGAAATGACTGATATATGTGAAGATGCTCAACATCAGTAATCATCAGAGAAATGCAAAATAAAACTGTACTAAGATATCCGCTTACCCCAATTAGAATGGCTGTTATTAAAGAGACAAAAGGTAACAGACGCTGACAAGGATGTGGAGAAAAAGGAACTCTTACACACCACTGCTGGGGATATAAGTTAATACAGTCATTAGGGAAAACAGTAAGGAGACTTCTCAAAAAACTAAAAATAGAACTACCAAATGATCCAGCAGTCCTGCTACTAAGTGTTTATTTAAAGAAAAGAAATCAGTATATCAAAGAGATGGCAGCATCTCAGTGTTTATTGCAGCACTATTCACAATAGCAGTGATATGGAATCAACCTACCTAAGTGTCCATCAAAGGATGAATGGATTTTTTTAAGTGGTATATATACACGGTGAAATACTATTTTGCCATAAAAAAGGTGAATCATGTCATTTGTAGCAACGTGGATGGGAACTGGAGGTCATTATGTTAACTGAAATAAGCCAGACACAGAGAGACAACTATGACATGTTTTCAGTCCTATATAGGAGCTAAAAATGTTGATCTTATAGAGGTAGAGAGTAGAATGATAGTTACCAGAGGCTGGGAAGAGTGTAGGGGTGTGGGTGGGCGGATGAAGAGAGGTTGCTTAAAATGTACAAAAATACAGTCCCTAGAAGAAATAAGATTTAATGTTCAGTAGCAGAAAGTTAATAACAATGTATGTATATTACAAAATAGCTAGAACAGAGCACTTGAAATGTTCCCAGCACGTAGAAATGATAAATAGTAGAGGTAATGAAGACTCCAGATACCCTGATTTGGTCATTATACAGTATAGCATGTAAGAAAATGTCACTTTTATCCCATAAATATGTACAAATGTTTATATCAATTAAAAAATTTAAAAATTAATAGAACTTACCCTCAAACTAAATGTAGCTCTGATCCCACATTCAAAAGCCTTAAAAGCAAGCCTCAGAAAGATTTGTTTTTTAGTACTTTAATTGTCCCAGAGGAATACTCAAGAATACTTATTGTATTACAAAAAATATCTTTATATCTGGCATGCAGTCAACAATTTCTGGGCATGCAAAGAATGAGGAAAATATGAGCCACAATCAGTGGAAAAATTAATTGAAACAGATCCAGCAATGTTAGAAATAAAAGCAGTAGATGAAAACATTAAAATAGTTGTTATAATTAGATTTCAAAAATACAATAAGGTAGCAAAAGGGCTGAGTATGATAAGTAGATACAGAAAAGATAAAAAGAAGGTTCTACTCCAACTTCTAAAATGAAACATATGTGTTATGAAATGTACATTGGATGGGATAACAGATTCAAATATGCAGAAGAAAAAATTAGTTAATTTTAAGACATACTACAATAGAAAGTATCAAAATTTAAACACAGAAATAAAAGACAGGAAAGGATGAACAGAACTTCAAGAGGCTGTGGCATAATTATAAGCTACTAATATACGCTTTTGGAATCTCAGAAGGTTAGAATGAGAGAGGTGCTAGAAAAGATAACTGAAGAGATAATGGCTGAAAATTTTTCAAATTTGATGAAATTTTTAAGATTTATAATATCACAGATCCAAGACATTCAAGAAATCCCAAATAGAAGGAATATGATGAAAACTACATGAAGAGACATCATAATCAAAATACTTGAAATCAGTAGTAAAGAAGAAAATTATAAAAGCATTCTGAGAAGAAAGGCATATTGTGTACAGTGAACCAAAGATGAGAATACAGTAGACTTTGCAGTAGAAATAATACATCACCAAGGAAAGTGAATAATAATTTAAAAGTTTTGAAAGAAAAATTGGAATTTTATACTCAAGGAAATAGCTTTCAAAATTGAAGATGAAATGAAGACCTTCTATACAGAAGCTAAAAGAATTCATTACCTGGAGAATACTATTATAAGAAATGTCAGGGGAAGTCTTTAATAATGTAAATAATATAAAACGAAATTCTAGACCTACAGAAGGAAATGAAGAGAAATAGAAATTATGTGGGTAAATATAGGCTACTTCATTTTTTAAAAAATTATTTAAAGGATTATTAACTTTTTAAAACAAAGGACATGACTGTGTTGTTTGAGATTTATAATATCGAGAAGTAAAATTTAGAACAATAGCATGTCGGTTTTTATGACAACATGGAAGTATACTTTTGTAAGGTGATTATGCTGTGCATGAAGTAGTAGTATATTACTTGGAGACAGACTGAAATAAATTGAAGAGGTATGCTATAAGACATAAATAAACACTGAAGAAACCCCAGCAAAGAGTTATACCAATAAAGAGTTATACAACAAGGATAAAACATAATTATAAAAGTACTTTATCCAAAAAATGCAAAAAAGAAAAAGAGCACAGGGGAACAAAAAATGAAGAGATGTATAGAAAACTAACAGCACAATGGTAGCTTTAAACCCAAACTTATCAGGAATTTCTTAAATGTAAATGGTCTAATGACCAATTTAAAGGCAGAGATTGTCATATTATATTTTTAGAAAGTAAGTCTCAAATAGGTTAAAAGTAACAGGATAGAAAAAATGTGTCACGCTAGCATTAATCAAAAGAGCACTAGTGTGGTTATATTGATATTAGACAAAATAAATTTTAAAAGTCAGTTTTGAAAACATAAAGTTAGTAAATCTTTAGTCAGACTTGTTTGATATAAAAAGAACAAAGACACAAGTTAGAATGAGAAGGTGTAATTACATATTCCACAGATACTTTAAGGATTAACCAATATTATGAAGAACTTTATGCCAGTGAATACAACAAGTTAGACTAAATGGTTAAATTTTATGGAAGACAGTGCTATGAAAAATTACCAAAGTTCACTCAAGAAAAAATTGTTTATGTGTATACATGAAGATGAGTTTAGATTTAAGATCCTCTTAAAAAGAAAATTGTTTGTTTCACTGGTGAATCTTAGCATTAGATGGAGAAATAATACCAACTCAACATATACTCTTTCAGAACATAGAAGATGGTATACTTCTCAACTACTTTTATGAAGCCAATGTTGCTATGATAGTATAATTTTTAAAAGGCATTAAAATACAAACTATCACAAACCAATATTCCTCATGAATGTAAATACAGAAGTCCAAATTGGATTATAAATCCAATAGCCAGGTGACATTTATTGTTTGAATGTATGGTTGATTTAATGTTTATGAATCAACCCATGGAATTTTTCTTACTGATAGGATTAAGGTAAAAGTCATTTGTTCTTCTCAATAGATGTAGATTTTTTTAAAAAAGCTCTCAGGAAACTTGAAATAGAAGGGAATTTCCTCAATGAGATAAATAGGATCTTAGTGAAGCCTGCAACTAATAACATTCTTAATGGTGAAAGACCTAATGCTTTTCTCTTGGTATTAAGAACAATGCAAATATCTCTACCCTCACCACTTCCATTCAAGATTGTACCAGAGGCCATAGCTAATTCACTGAGACAGTAATAACTAATTGAAAGCCCATAGAATGAAAAGGAGGAAGTAAAACTCTTTATTCACAGGCAATATGGTCATTTATACACAGATGACCATGAAGAAAATCCTAAAGTATCTACAAAAGATGCTACTTGAACTGATAACTGAGTCCAATCATGTTATAGAAGATGAAGTTGTCCAATCATGTTACAGAAGATGAAGTTGATGTGCAGAAATCAGAGTGTATATACTATCAACATTAATAATTGAAAATTCAGATTGAAAATAACATTGATGACAGCATCCAAAATATTAAATACTTAAAGGTAAATCTAACAATATATTGCAGACTTCCACACTTAAAACAACAAAATATTGCTGACAGAACACAAAGACAATTTAAATGAGGGAAGAAGTAGACCATGTTCAATGTATTATAATATTCAATATTGTTAAGATTTCAACTTTCCCTAAATTAGTCTGTAGATTAAACATAACCCTAGTAAAAATTTTAGAAGATTATTTTGTAGATGTTATTGTTAAAAAAAATTTCGGAGGACTTTCCCTGCCTGAAAGCATCACTAATCAAGGCAATCTGGTTGAGGTATAAGAATAGTAATATAGATTAATGGATCAGAATAGAACTTTGCAGTGCAGACCTGCGCAGATATGAAGAATTGATTTTTTTTTATAAAGGTACCAAGGTAATTCCGTGGAGGAAATTATAGTTAACTCAAAAAATGGGGCTGAAAAAATTAAATAGTCTCATTGAAAACAAAATACAAACCAAAAAATGCCTTGACCTTCATCTCACAGTATATATAAAAATTAACTTAGAACTGATCACAACCCTAATTGCAGCAGCTAGAACACTAAGATTTCTAGAAAACAGGCAAAAATCTGTAATTTTAGATTTAGTGAAATAACTCAGGAATAGAAAATCAAATACCTTATATTCTCATATATAAATTGGAGCTAGACATGGGTATCCATGGACATACAGAGGGAAACGCTGTAGGTAATATACACTGGGGACTCTAAAAGAGGAGAACTGGAGGAGGATGAATGTTGAAAAATTATCTGTTGGGCACAATGTTCATTGTTAAGGTGATGAGTATGCTAGAAGCTCAAACCCCACTACTATGCAATATATCCATGTAACAAATCTGCATATATACCCTCTAAATGAATGAAAAAAAATTTTTAATGCAATATAACAATTTAAAAATTTTTTTAGGGCACAAAAGCAAAAAGTGTAAGAGGAAATAATGATAAACTGCGTCAAAATTTAAAACATTTGTTACAAAATACCCTTAAGAAAATGGAAAAACAAGCCACTTAAGAAAATGGAAAAACAAGCCACAGAATGAATATCTGTAAAACAATTTTCTGATAAAGAACTCTTGTAATTCAATAAGATTATTATAACAACTATATAATGGAGTTTTTAAATGTGCAAGTCCTATTAAAATGTACAAATCACTTAAAGAGACAGTTCATCAAAGTAGATATACCATTAAACATGAAATGCTGCTTAACATTATTAGTTATTAGGGGCAGGTAAATTAAATCCACAATGAGGTTCTACTGTACACCTGCTAAAAAGGCTGAAATTAAAAAGACTGATACCACTATGCATTGATAAGCATATGGACTGAGGTTCACATTTATTTGCTGATCGGAATGCAAAATAGCACAACCACTTTGCAGAACAGTCTGGTAGGGTTTTCCAAAGTTAGGCATACACTTATACCAGCTAGCAATTCCGCACCTCGGTATTTACTCAAGAACAATAAAAACATATATTTATATAAAGACTCATATTTGCATATTCATAGCAGCTTTTTCATAATAACTAAAAACTGGAAACAACTCAAGTGTTCTTTAACTGATAAATGGATATACAAATTGTATTATATCCCATATAATGAAATATTTCCCAGTGATATGAAGGAACAAACTACCAATCCTTTCAATACCATGTATGACTCTCAAAACCATTATACTGAGTAAAAGAAGCCAGATGCCAATAGCCTGTGTACTGTTTGAATACATTTGTATAAAATTCTGGAAAATACAAAACTGTGCTAATAGCAGATCTATGATTGCTCAGAATCACGAAGGGAGGGAATTGTCTGCAAACAAGAAGGAAGGACCATTTCTGAGGTGATGAAAATGTTCTATATTGTGATTACTGTATTTCTTACACAACTATGTATACATTTATCGAAACTCCTCAGATTATACAACTTAAATTTGATCAATTTTAATGTATATAGATTGAACTCAGTAAAACTGAATTTTAAAATGTGAGATAATAGCTATCGTTAACTTAAAAAGCACCATACGAATTGATTATTGTTGATAGTGATAGTGATGTGAAAAGGACTGTGTCTCTTTAACAAAGGCAGATGTAATCAATGTGAATTTCATTAGCAATCTCTAGATTTTATGGTTCTGTGTACTTTTACTTTTAAAATATTATTATTGACTTTTTACCAGAAAATATTTTCTGTACAATTTCTTGCATCTAATTTTTTTATCAAACATGAATTTGCAACATAATTTTTGAAAACTCATGTTTCTTGAGTCTACAGCTATAAACAGGACCTTGCCTGTCTTGTTGACCACTGGCATAGTTGGTGTACCTATTGTTGTGTAACATATTACTATAAAATTCAGTGACCTGAAACAACTAACTTTTATTACCTCATGGTTTCTGTGATCCGCTTCCCAGCGAACTCATTTGGGCCCCTCTGCCAGGCCTCTCACAACATGAAAACTGGCTTCTCCAAAAAGTCATACAAGAGAGTGCCCAAGATGCAATCTGCCATCTTTTTGTAACCTAAAATCTGAAATGACATCCCGTCAGCTCTGTATTTTATTTGATAAAAGTGAGTTAATATGTCCAGCCTACATGCAAGGATAGATAATTACATTCAGACTTAAATAAAAGGAGTCAAGGATCACTTGGGTCTATGTTAGAGGCAGCCTATCATAGTACGGATCAATAACTAGTTGGATGGATGGATGGATGGATGGATGGATGGATGGATGGATGTGGAGGGATGGTCAGTCAGGCAGACAGATGATGGGCAAATAGATTAATGCTATACCACAATATAATTTAATTTATGTTGCATACCCAACTTAATCCTGAAAAACTTGAGACTATTTAGGAAAGATTGACCAGGATGGTGAGAGGTATAACTATTTTCCTTCTATATATAAAAGTTAAAATATTCTATAACCCTTTGCCTTTAAAAAAAAAAAAACTTAAAAGACATGGTAATAATTATAAAGCATTTGAAAAAGTGAACTCTGGAAAAAGGATTAGATTTTTTTTTAACTCCAGACAATCATTCTAGTACTGTCAGCAATTTGGCAAAATTTGATATAAGACAGAGATTTTGTTTCAATTTGAAGAAATTTTCAATGATTTATATGTTTGCTCTTCAGTGTCATTCACATTAAACTTTAAATGCTTTCAAGAAACTATCTGCTACCCATGATCAATAACTATGCATTCATTTCACTTTTATCCCTAGCATATGGGTTTAATAACTTTGACAGGGAACCATATAACTTCTGATGGTCATAATTTTCTAGGAATTATAACAATAGAAAATAATTAATCTGAGGGTCTTAAATATTTATCTTTTTTGGAAAAGGTTAAAATACATAAAAGAAAATATAGGCTGGGATCATGGCCGACAGGAGGCAGGACTAGATTGCAGCTCTGACTTGGACAGACAGAGCAGGATGTGTAGGCTCTCATCATGAATTTTAGCTCCATAACGACTGCAGGAATAATCAGAAAACCCGAGAGGACCCACAGACCCTCTGAAAGAAGCAGATTTCTCCTGCAGGACCCAGGAGACACCCCAAATATTTTGCTAGTATCCATGGCTGAGAGACCCATAGATGGTTCACATCACAGGACTCTGTGCACACAACCCCCAGTACCAGCCCGGAGCCTGGTGGATTTGCTGGGTGGCTAGATCCAGAAGAGAGATAACAGTAACTACAACTTCACTGTTAGGAAGCCATATCCACAGGAAAAGGGGGAGAGTACTACATCAAGGGAGCACCCATGGCACAAAAGAATCTGAACAACAGCCTTCAGCCTTAGACCTTTCCTCTGACAGAGGCTACCCAAATGAGAAGGAACCAGAAAACCAACTCTGGTAATATGACAAAACAAGGCTGTTTAACACCGCCCCTCCCCCCCAGAAAAAAAATCACAGTAGCTCACCAACAGTGGATCCAAACCAAGAAGAAATCCCTGATTTACCTGCAAAAGAATTCATATTAGTTATTAAGCTAATCAGGAAGGCACCAGAGAAAGGCAAAGCCTAATGCAAGGAAATCCAAAAAAAAAACAATACACGAAGTGAAGGGAGAAACATTCAATGAAATAGATAGTATAAATAAAAAAACCCCAAAACTTCACAAAACACTGGACACACTTATAGAAATGCAAAATGCTCTGGGAAATCTCAGCAATAGAATTGAACAAGTAGAAGAAATTCAGAGCTTGAAGATAAGATCTTCGAATTAACCCAATCCAACAAAGACAAAGAAAAAAGAATATGAAAATATGAACAAAGCCTCCAAGAAGTCTGGGATTATGTTAATCCACCAAACCTAAGAATAATCAGCGTTCCTGAGGAAGAAGACAAATCTAAACGTTTGGACAACATATTTGGGGAAATAATTGAGGAAAACTTCCCAGGCCTTGCTAGAGACCTAGACATCAAAATACAAGAAACAGAAAGAACACCTGGGAAATTCATTGCAAAAAGATTATCACCCAGGCGCATTGTCATCAGGTTAACTAAAGTTAAGATGAAGGAAAGAATCTTAAGAGCTGTGAGACAAAAGTACCAGGTAACCTGTAAGGCAAAACCTATCAGATTAATGGCAGACTTCTCAGCAGAAACCCTACAAGCTAGAAGGGATTGGGGCCCAATCTTGAGCCTCCTCAAACAAAACAATGATCACCCAAGAATTTTGTATCTAGTGAAACTAAGCATCAAATATGAAGGAAAGATACAGTCTTTTTCAGACAAACAAATGCCAAGAGAATTCACCACTAACAAGCCACCACTACAAGAACTGCTAAAAGAAGCTCTAAATCTTGAAACAAATCATGGAAACGCATCAAAACAAAATGTCATTAAAGCATAAATCTCACAGGACCAACAAAACAAAAATACAAGTTAACAAACAAACAAAAACCAGGGTACACAGGCAACAAATAGCATGACGTATGGAATGGTACCTCACACATCTCAATACTAACATTGAATGTAAATGGCCTAAATGCTCCACTTTAAAGAAACAGAACAGCAGAATGGGTAAGAATTCACCAACCAACTATCTGCTGCCTTCAAGAGACTCACCTAACACATAAAGACTCACATAAACTTAAAGAAGCAGAAAAAGGCATTTCATGCAAATGGACACCAAAAGCGAGGAGTAGCTATTCTTACAAAAGACAAAACTTTAAAGCAACAGCAATTAAAAAAAAGACAAAGAGGGACATTATATAATGGTAAAAGGCTTTGTCCAACAGGAAAATATCACAATCCTAAACATATTTGGGAGCTGCACACCTAAAAGAGGAGCTCCCAAATTTATAAAACAATTACTGCTAGACCTAAGAAATGAGATAGACAACAACACAGTAATAGTGGGGGACTTCAGTACTCCACTGACAGCACTAGACAGGTCATCAAGACTGAAAGTCAACAAAGAAACAATGGATTTAAACTATACCTTGGAACAAATAGACTTAACAGATATATACAGAACATTCCATCCAAAGCCACAGAATATACATTCTATTCAACAGTGCATGGAACTTTCTCCAAGATAGACCATGTGATAGACCACAAAATGAGCCTCAATAAATTTAAGAAAATTGAAATTATGTCAAGCACTCTTTCTGACCACAGTGTAATAAAGCTGGAAATCAACTCCAATATAAACCTTCAAAACCATGCAAATACATGGAAATTAAATAACCTGCTCCTGAATGATCATTGGGTCAAAAATGAAATCAAGATGAAAACTTAAAAATTCTTCAAACTGAATGACAGCAGTGACACAACTTATCAAAACCTCAGGGATACAGCAAATGTGGTGCTAAGAGGAAAGTTCATGGCCCTAAACACCTACATCAAAAAGACTGAAAGAGCACAAACTGATCATCTAAGGTCACACCTCAGGGAACTAGAGAAACAAGAACAAACCAAACCCAAACCCAGAAAAAGAAGGGAAATAACCAAGATCAGAGCAGAACTAAATGAAATTGAAAGAAAAAAAATACAAAAGATAAATGAAAAGTTGGTTTTTTGAAAAGATAAATAAAATTGATAGACCATTAGCAACATTAACCAAGAAAAGAAGAGAGAAAATCCAAATAACCTCAATAAGAAACAAAACGGGAGCTATTATAACTGACACCACAGAAATACAAAAGATCATTCAAGGCTACTATGAATAACTTTATGTGCATACACTAGAAAACCTAGAAGAGATGGATAAATTCTTTGTAAGATACAACCCTCCTAGCTTAAATCAGGAAGAATTAGATACCCTGAACACTCCAATAACAAGTAGTGAGATTGAAATGGTAATTTAAAAATTACCAACAAAGAAATGTCCAGGACCAGAGAGATTCACAGCAGAATTCTATCAGACATTCAAAGAAGAATTGGTACCAATCCTATTGACACAATTCCAGATAGAGAAAGAGGGAACCCTCCCTAAATCATTCTATGAAGCCGGCATCACCCTAATATCAAGACCAGAAAAGGACATAACCAAAAAAGAAACTGAAGACCAATATCTCTAATGAACACAGATGCCAAAATCCTTAACAAAATACTAGTTATCCAAATCCAACAGCATATCAAAAAGCCAATCCACCATGATCAAGTGGGTTTCATACTAGGGATGCAGGGATGGCTTAACATACATAAGTGAATAGATGTGATACACTACATAAACAGAATTAAAAACAAAAATTACAAGATCATCTCAATAGATGCAGAAAAAGCATTCAACAGACTTCAGCATTCCTTTATAATTAAAACTCACAGTAACATTGGCATGCAAGGGACATACCTCAATGTAGTAAAAGCCATCTATGACAAACCCACAGCCATCATAATACTCAATGGTGAAAAGTTGAAAGCATTCCCTCTGAGAACTGGAACAAGACAAGGATGCCCACTCTCACCACTCCCCTTCAACATAGTACTGGAAGTCCTAGCCAGGGCAATCAGAGAGGAGAAATAAAGGGCATCCAAATCCATAAAGAGGAAGTCAGAAGTGTCACTGTTTGCTGATGATATGATCATTTACTTCAAAAACCCTAAAGACTCCTCCAGAAAACTCCTAGAACTGATAAAAGAATTCAGCAAAGTTTCTGGATACAAAATTAATATACACAAATCACTATCTCTTCTATATACCAGTAGCAACAAAGTGGAGTATCAAATCAAGAACTCAACCCCTTTTACAATAGCTGCAAAAAAAAAAAAAAAAAATACGTAGGAATATACCTAACCAAGAAGGGGAAAGACCTCTACAAGGAAAACTACAAAACCTGCTGAAAGAAATCATAGATGACACAAACAAATGGAAACACGTCCCGTGCTCATTGATAGGTAGAATCAATATTGTGAAAATGACCATACTGACAAAAGCAATCTCCAAATGCAATGCAATTCCCATCAAAATACCACCATCATTCTTCACAGAATTAGGAAAAAACAATTCTAAAATTCATATGGAACCAAAAAAGCCTGTATAGCCAAAGCAAGACTAAGCAAAAAGAACAAATCTGGAGCCATCACATTACCTGACTTCAAACTATACTATAAGGCCATAGTCACCAAAACAGCATGGTACTGGTATAAAAATAGGCATATAGACCAATGGAACAGAATAGAGAACCCAGGAATAAACCCAAATACTTACAGCCTACTGATTTTCGACAAAGCAAACAAAACCATAAAATGGGGAATGGACACCCTTTTTAACAAATGGTGCTGGGATACAGATTGGCTAGCTACCTGTAGGAGAATGAAACTGGATCCTCATCTCTCACCTTATATAAAAATCAACTCAAGATGGATTAAGGACTTTAAGAGCCAAAAGTATAAGAATTCTAGAAAATAACATTGGAAAAACCCTTCTAGACATTGGCTTAGGCAGTTTTGGGTTTCATGACCAAGAACCCAAAAGCAAATGCAATAAAAACGAAGATAAATAGCTGTGACTTAATTAAACTAAAGAGATTTTGCACAGCCAAAGTCACAGTCAGCAGAGTAAACAGACAACCCACAGAGTGGGAGAAAATCTTTGCCATCTACACATCTGACATAGGACTAATATCCAGAATCTACGACAATCTCAAACAAATCAGCAAGAAAAAAAATCCCATCAAAAAGTGGGCTAAGGACATACACAGTTCTCAAAACAAAAGAAGATATACAAATGGCCAAAAAACATGAAAAAATGCTCAACATCACTAATAATCGGGGAAATGCAAATCAAAACCACAGTGTGATACCACCTTACTCCTGCAAGAATTGGGCATAATCAAAAAATAAAAAAACTGATGTTGACTGACATGGATGCAGTGATCATGGAACACTTCTACACTGCTGGTGGGAATGTAAACTAGTACAACCACTATGGAAAACAGTGTGGAGAGTTCTTAAAGGCCTAAAAGTAGAACTACCATGTGATCCAGCAATCCCACTACTGGATATCTACCCAGAGGAAAAGAAGTCATTACATGATAAAGATACTTGCACACACACTTTTATAGCAACACAGTTCACAACTGCAACATCATGGAGCCAACGCAAATGCCCATCAATCAAAGAGTCGATATAGAAACTGTGATATATATATAGATATATCTATCTATATATATAGAATATATATAGAATATATAGAGAAAATATATAGAATATATATAGTATATAGAGAATATATATAGAATATATAGGGAGAATATATATTCCATCATATATATAGAATAGAGAGAATATATATAGAATATATATATAGAATATATAGAATATATATAGTATATATAGAATATGTATGGAATATATAGAGAGAATAGAGAGAATATATATATTCCATCATATATATAGAATATAGAGAATATATATATTCCATCATATATATAGAATATATATAGAGAATATATATATTCCATCATATATATAGAATATATATAGAGAATATATATATTCCATCATATATATATAGAATATAGAGAGAGAATATATATAGAATATATATATATTCCATCACATATATATAGAATATATATATTCTGTCACACATATATATTCCATCACATATATATAGAATATATATATTCCGTCACATATATATAGAATATATATATATTCCGTCACATATATATAGAATATATATATATTCCGTCACATATATATAGAATATATATATATTCCGTCACATATATATAGAATATATATATATTCCGTCACATATATATAGAATATATATATATTCCATCATATATATATACATATATGATAGAATACTACTCAACCATATAAAGGAATGAATTAATGGCATTCACGGCAACCTCGATGAGATTGGAGACTATTATACTAAGTGAAGTAACTCAGAAACAGAAAAACCAAACATTGTATGTTCTCACTGATATGTGGGGGCTAAGCTATGAGGATGTAAAGGCATAAGAATGATACAATGGACTCTGGGGACTTGGGAAGGTTGGGGTGGCAAGGGATAAAAGACTACAAATAGGGTGCAGTGTATACTGCTGGGTGATGGGTGCACCAAAATCTCACAAATCACTAAAGGACTTACTCATGTAACCAAACACCACCTGTACCCCAATAAACTGAAAAATAAAAAAATAAAAATGTATATATAGGCTAGGTGCAGTGACTCACACCTGTAATCCCAACACTTGGGAGCCAAGGCAAGAGGGTTGCTTGAGACAGGAGTTCAAGGCTGCAGTGAGCAATGATGGCACCACTGCACTCCAGCCTGGGCAACAGAATGAGACCCTGTCTCAAAATAAAATAAAATATAAATGAATGACACATGAGTTTTTTAATAGATATGCACGTTTATATTTGGATATACACCTGGATGTGTAATTTCTATACATGGAAGCTTTTGTTTCTTTTATATTTACTTAAGATCATTTCCATTTGAAATGCAATAAACCTCAAAATGTTTTTACTTTATTTATATCATTTCATTGTTTTTGTTGCCACTATAGTACAAGGGGCAATTGAGAATTTCACTTTTTATTAGAGCTTTTAGTTTTGTGATTTTGAATAATAAAGTGTTATATGCAGTGGAGGGCAGTGAGGGAATCTTCATATTCATGGAAATCATCCACCATTGTGGATTTTGTACTTATTCCTAAGACTACCGCTTGCCCTAAGATGAGAGAAGCAACTACTATGGATTTTGGATCATGGATGTTAGATCTCCTTAATGTTGAATATATCAGAATGGCCAACAACCACTGTTGAGAGAAAGAGTAAAACCAGCAAGGATTTCAAAAAAACTAATTAAATGTGATTTTGCCTTGATGAGGCATTTTCTGGTGTCACTATATACAGATTAACATTTTGCAAACTACCTTTTTAATGTTCATATACATTAATATTTAAACCTAAGACATCAAGGCTAACTACTAAGCAGAGAAATGTTGTTCCTGGAAGGGATGTAGTATTTTTGGAAAATATCTTAAGTTTATGCCTGTTAAATAGTGTGTAGTTCTTGAAGTAGCATGTGTTAGGCAATTTTTTTTTTTAAGAATTCAACTTTTTGTTTACAATGAAATATAGCATAGAAAAATACTCTTTCTTTTTTTTTTGAGACAGGGTCTCTCTCTGTTACCCAGGCTAGAGTGCAGTGGTGCAATCTCGGCTTACTGCAGCCTCTGCCTCCCAGGTTCAAGTGATTCTCCTGCGTCACCCTCCCAAGTAGCTGGGATTACAGGCACTCACCACCACGCCTGGCTAATTTTTTTGTATTTTTAGTAAAGATGGGGTTTCACCATGTTTGCCAGGCTGGTCTCAAACTCCTGGCCTCAGGTGATCTGCCCACCTTGGCCTCCCAAAGTGCTGGGATTACAGGCATGAGTCACCCTTCCTGGCAAAAATATTCTTTTTTTTTTTTTTTTTTTTGAGACAGAGTCTTGCTCTGTTGCCCAGGCTGGAGTGCAGTGGCACAATCTTGGCTCACTGCAACCTCTGCCTCCCGGGTTCAAGTGATTCTCCTGCCTCAGCCTCCCGAGTAGGTGGGACTATAGGCGCCCACCACCACACATGGCTTTTTTGTATTTTTAGTAGAGACGGGGTTTCACCATGTTGGCCAGGATGGTCTCGATCTCTTGACTTCGTGGTCCACCCGCCTCGGGCTCCCAAAGTGCTGAGATTACAGGCGTGAGCCACAGCGCCCAGCCAAAAATATTCTTATAATTAGTATTGGGTTAGATAGGAAATTCATTTCAAAGAACTAATGCCTATAATTAAATTTAAATATTTCAGATCCAGCTTTCTTTATTTTAAAAATTTTTTATTTTATTCTATTTTATTTTATTTTTAAATGGAGTCTCACCATGTCACCCAGGCTGGAGTGCAGTGGCCAGATCCAGCTTTCAAAAGCAATCATCTTCATAGATGAATTTTTAAATTTTTTAATGTTAAGTATGTAGTAAGGTATATTAATCTAGCTCTCAATATAGAAAGGAAAAATATGTAAGAATATGCAGTTACAAATAAGGAGCAAGAGTTTGGTTGTCTAGGACTTTTAACTCTTAACTACTGTCAGCAAACTAGTGAAAGTGGCTGGAGTTAAATTTACCACTACATGCTCATCGAAATCAAGTTAAATATTAAAAAGCTATCAAATTCAGAGAAAAGCCATTTAATATAATCAAACAGAAACAATTAGGCACTGTGCTTTTCTAAAACACTCTAGGATCTTGTGACCCATAGTTCACGAGGGTATTCCAATATTCAAGTATAAGTTGTGTGCATCTGTTTTTATTTTTTAGAGATATATGTTTCAGGTATTAAATGTACATACAATAAATATTTGTTTGAATGAAATTATTTGTTATATAAGAACTGGTAACTATATCCTGGTGTAGCTTTTTCATTTAAAAAAATTATTTCATTTTATTTATTTATTTATGTCAGTAGTTTTGGGGGAACAGGTGGTGTTTGGTTGCATGAAAAAGTTCTTTAGTAGTGATTTCTGAGATTTTGGTGCACCCATCACCCAAGCAGTGTACACTGTTCCCAATGTGTAGTCTGTTATCCCTCATCCCACTCCCACCTTTCCTCCCAAGTCCCCATAGTCCCTTATAACGTTTTTATGCCTTTGCATCTTCATAGCTTAGCTCCCACATATAAGTGAGAACATATGATGTTTGGTTTTTCATTACTGAGTTACTTTACTTAGAATAATGGTGTCCAACTCCATCCAGGTTGCTGCAAATGTCATTATTTTCTTCCTTTTTATAGCTCAGTAGTATTCCATGCTGTATATATATGTACCAGCTTTTCTTTATCCACTCATTGATAGATGGCATTTAGGGTGTTCTATCTTTTTGCAGTTGAGAATTCTGCTGCAATAAACGTGAGTGTGTGGGTGTCTTTTTCATATAATGACTTTCTTTTGTCTGTGTAGCTACCTGGTAGTTAAATTGCTAGGTCAAATAGTAGTTCTACTTTTAAGTTTTTTTTTTTTTAATTTATTTATTTTTATTATACTTTAAGTTTTAGGGTACATGTGCACATTGTGCAGGTTAGTTACTCCATACTGTTTTCCATTGTGGTTATACTAGATTACATTCCCACCAGCCGTGTAAAAGTGTTCCCTTTTCACCACATCCATGCCAACATCTATGTTTTTTGTCTTTTAATTATGGCCATTCTTTCAGGAGTAAGGTGGTATCACACTGTGGTTTCGGTTTGCATTTCCCTGATCATTAGTGATGTTGAGCATTTTTTCATACATTTGTTAGCCACTTATATATATCTTCTTTGAGAACTGTCTATTCATGTCCCTAGCCCACTTTTTTATGGGATTTTTTTTTTGTCTTACTGATTGGCATTCTCTATAGATTCTGGGTATTAGTCCTGTGTCGGATGTATAGATGGCAAAGATTTTCTCCCACTCTTGGGGTTTTCTGTTTACTCTGCTGAAAACATTCTTTGCTGTGCAGAAGCTTTTTAGTTTAATTAGGTCCCATCTATTTACCTTTGTTTTTGTTGCATTTGCTTTTGGATTCTTGGTCATGAACTCTTTGCCTAAGCCAATGTCTAGAAGAGTTTTTTCCAGTGTTATCTAGAATTTTTATGGTTTCAGATCTTAGATTTAAGTCTTTGATCCATCTTGAATTGATTTTTGTATAAGGTGAGAGGTGAGGATGCAGTTTCATTCTTCTACATGTGGCTTTCCAATTACCCCAACACCTTTTGTTGAATAGGGTATCCTTTCCCCACTTCATGTTTTTGTTTGCTTTGTCAAACATCAGTTGGCTGTAAATATTTGGGTTTATTTCTGGGTTCTCTATTCTGTTCCTTTTTTCTACATGCCTATTTTTATACCAGTACCATGCTGTTTTGGTATAGCCATGTAGTATAATTTGAAGTCAGGTAATGTGATGCCTCCAGATTTGTTCTTTTTGCTTATTCTTGCTTTGGCTATGCAGGCTCTTTTTTTGTTCCATAGAAATTTTTAGGATTTTTTTTTTCTAGTTCTGTGAAGAATGATGATAGTGTTTTGATAGGAATTGCATTGAATTTGTAGATTGCTTTTGGCAGTGTGGTCATTTTCACAATATTGATTCTACCAATCCGTGAGCATGGGATATGTTTCCATTCATTTGTGCCATCTATGATTTCCTTCAGCAACGTTTTGTAGTTTTCCTTGTAGAGATCTTTCGAAACTCCCTAAATATTTTTTTAGGAGGGTGAGGAGCTGTTGTAAAAAAGGTTGAGTTCTTGATTTGATTCTCAGCTTGGTCGATATTGGTGTACAGCAGTGCTACTGATTTGTGTACATTCATTTTGCATCCTGAAATCTTACTGAACTTATTTGTCAGATCCAGGAGCTTTTTGAATGAGTATTTAGTGTTTTCTAGGTAAACGATCATATCATCTGCAAACAGCGACAGTTTGACTTCCTCTTTACCAATTTGGATACCCTTTATTTATTTCTTTTGTCTGATTGCTATGGCTAGAACTTTTCAGTACTATGTTGAATAGAAGTGGTCAAAGTGGGCATCTTTTTCTTGTTCTAGTTCTCAGGAGGAATGCTTTCAACTTTTCCCCATTCAGTGTAATGTTGTCTGTGGGTTTGTCATAGATGGCTTTTATTACCTTAAGGTATGGCTCTTTTATGCCAATTTTGCTGAGGGTTTTAATTGTAAAGGGATGCTGGATTTTGTCAGTGCTTTTCCTGCATCTGTTGATTATATGATTTTGTTTTTAATTCTGTTTATGTGGTGTGTCTCATTTATTGACTTGTATATATTAAATCATCCCTGCATCTCTGATTTGAAGCTCACTTGATCATGGTGGATTATCTTTTTGATATGCTGTTGGATTTGGTTTACTAGTATTTTATTGAGGATTTTTGCATCTATGTTCATCAGGAATGTTGGTCTGTAGTTTTCTTTTTTTGTTCTGTCCTTTCCTGGTTCTGGTATTAGGGTGATACTGGCTTTATATGATGATTTAGGGAGGATTCCCTTCTTCTCTGTCTTTTGGACTAGTTTCAGAAAGGTTGGTACCAATTATTCTTTAAACACCTGACAGAATTCATCTGTGAATCCTTCTGGTCCTGGACTTTTGTTGTAGTTGTTGGCAGTTTTTAAAATTACTATTTCAATCTTATTACTCATTATTGATCTGATCAGAGTTTTCATTTCTTCCTGATTTAATCTAGGAGGGTTGTATATTTTCAGGAATTTATCCATTTCCTCTAGATTTTCTAGATTCATGCATAAAGGTGTTTATAGTAGCCTTGAATGATCTTTTGTATTTCTGTGGTATTGGTTGCAGTATCTCCCATTTCATTTCTAATTGAGCTTATTCGGATATTTTCTCTTCTTGGTTAGTTGCACTAATGGTCTATCAATTTTGTTCATCTTTTCAAAAACCCAGCTTTTTATTTCATTGATTTTTTGTATTTTTTGTTGTTTGTTTCAATTTCATTTAGTTCTGCTCTAATGTTGGTTCTTTTCTTCTGCTGGGTTTGGATTTTGTTCTTTCTCTAGTTCCTTGAGTTGTGTCCTTAGATTGTCTGTTTGTGCTCTGTTGGACTTTTTGATGTAGGCAGTTAATGCTATGAACTTTCCTCCTAGCACTGCTTTTGCTGTGTCCTAGAAGTTTTAATATGTTGTGTCACTATTATTGTTTAGTTCAAAGAATGTTTAAATTTCTATCTTGATTTCATTGTTGACCCAAAGATCATTCAGGACCAGATTATTTTATTTGCCTGTATTTGTTTAGTTTTGAGGGTTTTTTTTGAGTCGATTTCCAGTTTTATTCCCCTGTGGTCTGAGAGGGCACTGGATATAATTTTGATTTTCCTTAATTTATTGAGACTTGTTTAATTTATTAATTTATTGGTCTATCTTCGAGAATTTTCCATGTGCTGATGAAAAAAATGTATACTCTGCAGTTGTTGGGTAGAATGTTCTCTAAATATCTGTTAAGTCCATTTGAAGTCCATTATTTTGTTGACTTTCTCTCTTAATGACCTGTCTAGTGCTGTCAGGTGAGTATTGAAGTCCCCTATTATTGGGTTGCCATCTATCTCATTTCTTATATCTAGTAATAATTGTTTTATAAATTTAGGAGTGCTGCGTTAGGTACATACATATTTAGGATTGTGATATTTTCCTGTTGGACTAGTCCTTTCATCATTGTATGATTTCCCTCTTTGTCTTTTTTAACTGTTGTTGCTTTAAAGTCTGTTTTGTCTGATATAAGAATGGCTATTCCTGATTGCTTTTCGTTTCCATTTACATGAAATATCTTTTTCCACCCCTTTACCTTAAGTTTATGTGAATCCTTATGCCTTAGGTAAGTCTCTTGAAGATAGCATATACTTGGTTGGTGGATTTTTAATCCATTCTACCATTCTGTATCTTTTAAGTGGAGCCTTTAGGTCATTTACACTCAGTGTTAGTATTGGGATGTGAGGTACTATTTTATTCATCACACTAGTTATTGCCTGAATACTTTGTTTGTTTGTTTGTTTTTGTTTGTGTGTGTGTGTGTGTCTGTGTTGTGTTTTGTTTTTTTTTTTTTTTTGAGACAGAATCTCACTCTGTTGCCTAGGCTGGAGTGCAGTGGTGCAATCTCGGCTCACTGTAACCTCTGCCTCCTGGGTTCAAGTGATTCTACTTCCTCAGCCTCCTGAGTAGCTGGGATTACAGGCACCTGCCACTGCACCTGGATAATTTTTGTAGTTTTAGTAGAGATAGGGTTTTACCATCTTGGCCAGGCTGGTCTTGAATTCCTGACATAGTGATCCATCTGCCTCAGCCTCCCAAAGAATACTTTGTTTTTTCTTCATTGTGTTATTGTTTTATAGGCCCCATGAGATTTATGCTTCAAGGAGGTTCAATTTTGGTGCATTTCAAGGGTTTGTTTCAAGATTCTTGTAGTGCTGGTGTGGTGGTGATGAATTCTCTCAGCATTTATTTCTTTGAAAAATCCTTTATCTCTCCATTTTGAAGCTTAGTTTTGCTGGATACAGAGTTCTTGGTTTGTAAGTATTTTGTTTGAGGATGCTAAAGTTAGGACCCTAATCCCTTTTGGCTTGTAGGGTTTCTGCTGAGAAATCTGCTGTTAATCTGGTAGGTTTTCCTTTATGTTACCACTTTATGTTCCTTTAGGTTACCGCTTGCTTTTGCCTCGCAGCTCTTAAGATTCTTTCCTTAGATAACCTGATGGCTACGTGCCTGGGTGATGATCTTTTTGCTGGTGGTCATCTTTTTGTGATTTATTTCCCAGGTGTTCTTTGAGCCTCATTGTATTTGGATCCTCTTCCTCCTCAGGAACACCAGTTATTCTTAGGTTTGGCTGTTTAACATAATCCTAAATTTTTTGGAGGGTTTGTTTATTCTTTTTTTTTTTTTTTTTTTTTGAGACGGAGTCTCGCTCTGTCGCCCAGGCTGGAGTGCAGTGGCGGGATCTCGGCTCACTGCAAGCTCCGCCTCCCGGGTTCACGCCATTCTCCTGCCTCAGCCTCCCAAGTAGCTGGGACTACAGGCGCCCGCCACTACGCCCGGCTAATTTTTTGTATTTTTAGTAGAGACGGGGTTTCACCATTTTAGCCGGGATGGTCTCGATCTCCTGACCTCGTGATCCGCCTGCCTCGGCCTCCCAAAGTGCTGGGATTACAGGCGTGAGCCACCGCGCCCGGCCGGGTTTGTTTATTCTTTAAAAATTATTTGTCTTTTTCTGATTGGGTTAAAGACCTTGACTTTGAGCTCTGAAGTTCTTTCTTCTACTCATTCAATTTTATTGTCGAAATTTTCCAGTGCCTTTTTTTATTTCTCTAAGTGTGTACTTCATTTCCAGAAGTTGTAATTGTTTTTCTTTATGGTATCTGTTTTTCTGGAGCATTTTTCATCCATATACTGTATTTTTTCCTTAATTTCTTTAAGCTGGTTTTCATCTTTCTCTGGTATCTACTTGAGTAGTTTAGTAATCAACCTTCTGAATTCTTTATCTGGCAAATCAGAGATTTCTTCTTGGTTTGGATCCCTTGCGCATGTTATAGAATCTTGTTTTGCCACATTACCAGAATTACTTTTCCGATTCCTTCTCATTTGAGCAACCTGTTTCAGTGGAAAAATATGGAACTCAAGGGCTGCTGTTCAGATTCTTTTGTCCCATGGGTGATCCCTTGATGTGGTACATTTCTTCTTTCCCTAGGGATGGGACTTCCTGCAAGCCAGACTTCAGTGACTGTTATTGCTCCTCTGGGTTTAGACACCTAGCAGGGTTACTAGGCTCTGTGTTAGTGCTGGGAAATGTCTGTAAAGAATCCTGTGATGTGATCCTTCTTCAGGTCTCCCAGCCATGGATACCAGTACCTGCTCTGGTGGAGTTGGCAGGGCTGTGAAATAGACTGTGTGAGAGTCCTTGGTTTTAGACACGTTGAGGATGCTGGCTTTCTTGAATGCTGGTTATGCCAGCAGTAAAGTTGTCACGTGGACACACTGAGAACCACTGGTTTGCTGGGATTTTGCAGGCAGTGAAATTAGCTGTTGTCTTCTCCCTCCTTGGAACAGGATTGTTCTGTCATGAGTTGCTGTAATGTCCTAAGTTGGTCGGCCTCCATCCAGGAGGTGGCGCTTTCAAGAGAGCCCCAGAGTTTTTGGCCTGTCTTTCAGAACTTGCAGTGGCTTGCCACTTCTTTCAAAGCATCTGTGAATTCTTTTAGTTTTCCTGGTACATTCCTGTGGTGGTTCCTGGATTAAAAGTCCACATTGTGAGTCCCCACACATTGTTCTGTCTGTCCAAGTGGGAGCTGCATGTCAGCCCTGTCTCCTGTCTGCCATCTTGACTCCACAATCAGCTTTTTCATTTTTACTGAAACTTAATTCCACATTGAGAGTTTTTAAATTTCAGCATTGAATAAGTGCCATTTTTGACTAGTATATAAATTTTATTAAAACAACTACATCTGAAAAATAAGGAATTCATAAATTATCATTTTTATAACCTCTCGTCATTTACATGGAACATGTAGAATCTTTATGACTTCAATTTAGTAAATTGTAAATACAGTTTAATTGTTGTTTAACTTGTATTTGACAGCTTACCAAATAAACTAATGAAATGAATCCCACGTAATCTAGATACCTACACTCCAAAGAACAGTACATGGATATTTCTTGGCCTGATAATAAATGAAAAGAAAGGAATAACTGATGTATCTGCCTTGACTTATTGTATCTCAACATGAAGGGGAGAGAGGGCAGTTCTTAGTGAAATAATGCACATTAAAACAAGATAAAAAATTTTAATTGACATAATGATTGCATATATTGAAGTGGTACATAATTATGTTTTGATTTATAATGTATAGTGATCATATCATGGTAATTAGCATATCTATGATCTCAAACATTATCATTTCTTTATGTTGGGAACATTCAATGTCCTCCTAGCTATTTGAAACTCTGTAATATATTATTGTTAACTAGAGTCATCCCACAACGGTATAGAACACTAGTATTTATTCCTTCTATATAGTGGTAATTTTGTCCAAGGTAATTTTGTTTAACACAATAAAAAACCATGCTAAAAACATAAACCTTAATTGTAGATTTTAGTTTTGGTATTGTATTATTTGGCGATGATAAGCTTAGAAAAAATACTTAATTTTTAATTTAATTCATTAGATTTTGTTTCTGTTAATTTATTCTTTATAGCTAAAAGATAAAAAGATCACACTATTTTACTATCACACATTATTTTTGTTTGTTGAAGCAAAGAAAAAAATTTAGAATGTGACAAGAGAAAATATTATTAATCTTAAAGAAAATTTAAGTTTTAAAACAGGCTGATTCAACACATGTTGTCAGTTCAGTTTCAGACAATGTATAAGATATGAATCATAGTTGTGCAGAAATATCAATTGATTTGGTCACACATATTTAGGACTGATTATTGCTGACTATTGTTATATTTTTGAAGGTTTTAAAAATTCAATTAAAGTGATTATATAGATTTATACTTTAATATTTCAGTGGCAACAGAAATTTTGGTTTTCAGAGCACATCTGAGATTAAAGATTTTATCCTTTTCCTATGGTTGACTCATAAAAAATCAACTCTATTTTCAATACTGTGATCAAATAAAAGGGAATTGGGACAGTGTGTAGAGTAAGTACTTTTTTTTCATCATTTCATCGTGTTTATTACCTGCTCTCAGATTGCCCAGCAAAGATATTGTAACAGTGTGCGTTGTAATCAATAAGTAATGTATAAATATGCAGTTTCACCATGGCCTCAGCACTATTAAATTTTATTATTTTAATTTATTATTTTATTATTAACTGGATAGATAGGAAATGGCATCTCTATTTTCTTTTCAATTTAATGTTCTTTGCTTACTAGTGAAAAGATGATACATGATCTATTGATGTTGCCACCAAAGTTTCAGAACAGTCTATAGGAGGTACTTTTAAATGCATTTGGCCTTGTCTAGATTAAAACAACAGCTTACATTTATTAAACACTCACTAAGCACCAGATACTTAGTTTTTTTAAGGATTATATAATATTTGTTCTGGTTAGTATACTCATTTTACAACTGTGGAAACAAAGGCTTAGAAATATTAATACATCCAAGGTCACAGAATCAGTAGGTGGTATTTATAGTTTGGTGGATTTGTCCCATCAAAGTTGGTTTTCCCTTTTACTTACCATTTTAACTCCTAAGTTGTACTATCATAGCATACCCATACTCTGAATTCATAACTGAAATAATAACCTTACTTTAAATTTTACATTTTCTGCTGAATTCTCTTTATGCTAGTTGCATATATAATCTTACAGGACATATTTATAAAGACAGCTTAAAATAGACCAGACACTTAAGAACGTATAGGAAGGTAATTTGAATGTTACAGATTTTTCAATATGGGAGATTTTATCAGTTTCATCATAATAACAATAGTGCATTCAAATTCTTTCATGTATGTACCACATCTTATTCTTTTATCACTCCTTCAGACACATGAGGTTATATACTGATCTCCACATGAGGAAAATGAGGCAGGGGACTGTTGTTTGGTTCCACTTCTGTGTGCTTTCCATCTGGATCGTACTTATCAGGATGACATTCTATTATTGCAAATCTGTGCTTTAAATTTATTGGATTACAAAGCTTTAAAGATGTGTGGATCTGGGTGCTATAACACTGCTCAAAATAGCTGCCTGAATGAAGAGATATATGTACTTTAACATTACACTTTTAAAAGTGAGTATATTTCATGAGATGAATTGTCTGTCTTATGCGCAATTATAAATCATTTCTATTTCATAAGACTGTAGAGTGATTTTGAATACAAAGCAATATTGGACAAATAGCAAATTATGTTAAATTGTAGGGCAAATTGAGAAAGCGAAGCTGTGATTTTGAGCAACTGTGCCTTCATGATTTAAAATGCAACTTTCTTATGCAGTATGGAACAATTCTTATTTCCTCTCAAACTTCTATTATAAATGCATTTATTCTTTTTAATTTTAGCTTCACAGATAATTCTGGTTTGGAATTAGGGATCTTTTTTTGAGGATAGGAAGAAATTTGCAAATTATATTTGAGTTTTGATTTATTGTGATAATTGACTAATTTATTATATAACCTGTTATAATCTGAACTATTTAAAAATAATTTTCTGCTTTAAAATCTCTCACAGGGTCTTTCTTAAGACACTTTCATTCACCTCTGGAAATAGCAGCAGTAGTTTCTAATCTTTGGCTAGCAGATAATTTCTAAAATCATTTTTCTTTCTCCCCGAATTGTAGTTTGAGTAGCACTTGTCTTTCAGAGAAAATGAACTTTATTCCTATTAGAAAAACTGTTAAACTAAAAGATCTGACAACAACATTCTTGAATAAGTTTAAAGAATTTATGGCTTAAATTAATCTGAATTCTAATTTACCTTTTACCTTGAGCTTGGCTGCTGTTTTCAATTTATATGCATTTTATACATTAACTGCTACCCTCAATTTCCTGTCAACTTTGTAGTAAGTGATACTCTGTCAAATGCTACTCTATGATGCATTTAAATAAAGATAAAAGGTCAATCTAGGCTTTTCTAAAGTTACCATTCTAGGATATAAGCTTCTGAATTGCTTTGTATTTGTATCATTAGACGTAATTTCTGACATTTAAAAATTTACCAAAAATGTAATGAATTCAAGGTAGTCATTATATGTCTATGGATTCTTTAAGCATGTTAAAGACTTTATGTATCTTTAACCATAAAAAACATAATATTGCTAAATAAAATTATTCTGTGTATCTCTAGGCAGTCTAGAACTCATATTCTAGAATTCTAGATCAGCAGTGAACAAAGTGAGGATGTCTACTCTTACCCCTTCTTTTTAATATATGTTGGAAGTTTTAGCCAGGGCATTAAGGCAGTAAATACATAGACAAATAAATAGACAGATAGGAAAGGAAGAAGTAAAATATGTATTTCTTCATAGTAGATGTGATATTATATATCAAATGATTCTAGGAAATCTGCAAAGGTACTAGGATTAATAAATGACTTTAGCAAGGTCGCAGAATACAAGGCCAGTATTCAAAGATCAATTATATGTCTATACTTTAAAAACAAATAACCAGAAACAGAAATTTAAAAGCCAGTATCACTTACAATACCAAAAAAAAAAAAAAAATGAAATACTTAGAGGTAAATTTAACAAACATTTTTTAAGACCTATATACTGAAAACCATAGTATATTATTGAGAGAAAGTAAAAATCTGAATGAATATAGAGATACACCATGTTCAGGGATCAGATAAGTCAATTTTGCTAAGATGTCAGTTCTCCACAAATTAATTTAGAATTCAAAGCAATTCTAAATTAAACCCAATGGGCTTTATTTTAGAAATTGACAAGCTGATTTTAAAATTTATATGGAATTGCAGAGGAAAAACAATTGATACAGAGTTAGAAAACTCACACCACCTAAATATTTATTATATAGTAATCAGAGAAGTGTGTTATTAGCATATGATGTTGAAACAATTCATTATCCATTTAGAAATACAAAAGGAAACTCCACCCTTACCACACATCATACATGGAAATCAATTTACAAGATATCATAGACCTAATATAAAAGCAAAACATAAACACTTTAAGGAGAAAAATAGGAGAAAATCTTAGCAATCTTAAATCAGGCAGAGGCTTTTTAGATAGGAAGCAAAAGCCATCAGTTTTTTTTTTTTTTTCTTGAGACAGGGTCTTGCTTTGTCACCCAGTCTGGAGGGCATTGGTGCAATCATGGCTCACTGCAGCCTTGACCTCCTGGGGTCAAGCAGTCTCCCCACTTCAGCCTCTCAAGTAGCTAAAACTACAGGTGCATGCCACCACACCTGGCTTTTTTTTTTTTTTTTAAGGGACGGGTCTCATTGTGTTACTTAGGCTGATCTTGAACTCCTGGGCTCAAACATTCTTCCCACCTTGGCCTCCCGAAGTGCTGGGGTTACAGGCATGAGCCACCGTGTCCAGCATGAATATTTATAACAAAGTGATAAATTAGACTTCCTTGAGAGATACAATTTAAAAAATGAAAAAGCAAGCCACAGACTAGGACGAGTTAATAAATAAATTAAATGCATAAACACCTACATGTATATTGTGTATGTTTGTATATGTATATTGAACATACATGGACAAGGATATGTGTCAAGAATATATAAAGGGCCAGGTGCAGTGGCTCATGCCTGTAATCCCAGCACTTTGGGGGGCCAAAGTGAGAGGATCACTTGAGGCCAAGAGTTCAAGAACAGCCTGGGCAAAACAATGAGATGTCATCTCTACAAAAAATTATAAAATGAGCTTTGCCAGGCATGGGGCACATGCTTGTTAGCTACTCAGAAGGCTGAGGCAGGAGAATTGCTTGAGCCCAGGAGTTCTAGGATACAATGAGCTGTGATCATGCCACTGCACTCCAGCATGGGTGACAGAGCAAGACTCTGTTTTAAAAATAAAATACACACATACGTGTGTGTGTGTGTGTGTGTGTATGTGTATTTTTGTCTATAAAGAACAATTATAACTCAATAATAGAAAGACAACCCAATTTTCAGTAATGGGTAAAACAGTTGAAAAGATATTTCACTGCAGAAGATATGTGAATGGTCAGTAAGTGCATGAAAAGATAATATCATCAGTCATCAGGGCAATGGAAATTAAAAACATTATGAAATACCACAAGATACCTACTAGAATGGCCAAAATTTTTAAAGACAGTACTAAGTGTTGATGAGGATGCAAAGCAACTACAGCTTTTATGCATTGCTAGTGGGAATATGAAATGATACTATTACTTCGAAAAACAATTTGACAATTTCTTTATAAGTTAATTATACATTTACCATATGACTTATCAATTCCATTATTTGTCTAAAGGAAATGAAAACTTATGTTCACATAAAGACTTGTTCACAAATGTTTATAGTAACTTTCTTTATAATATCAACCCAAATGCCTATCAGTAGAAAAATAGATAATCCAAATGTGGTATATTGAATACAATGGAAAACTATTTAGTGATAAAAAAGAGCAAATAACTGATACTTACAGCAACATGGATAAACCTCCAAATCATTGTGGTGAGCAAAACAAGCTAGATACTCTAAAATTCCATTTTTATAGAATTCTAGAAAAGATTAATATAGGCCCAGGATGAAGATGACTTACTGGAAAGGATTATAAGGAAATAGTTTGGGTTGATGGAAATGTTCTGTATCTTCATTGGTGTGGTAATTACGCGTTTACATATGTATCACAGTTATTGAACTGTACATTTAAAATTCATGTATTTTATTGTGTGTAAATTGTACCTGAATAAAGATGAAAAAGGTAGTATTTATAAATTCTATTAATAATTGATTTCCAAAGGAAAATAACACAAAAGATAAGTGAACACTTAAAGATAATTTCAAAGTAAATCTTGCTTGAAACTATATAAAAGTATTTATTAAAAGGCAATTAATTACTAACATCCAAGTGTGAAAATTTTGACCTTTAGTGTATTGTGCAGAAAAATTGTGGTATATTTCATTTAAAATTGATCAAAGACAGCAACATACATTAATCAGAGGAAAGCATCAATTAAATGTAGAAACAAGATTTAAACAAAGATTCATATTAAAATAATGATAAGTAATACTTAGAAACTGCATCCTAGAGACACATTATTCGTATTTTTAGAAAAACAGAAACATATTAGTGTGAAAAGATGTTAAAAAATGAATATTAAATTGTTGAGCACAACACATTATGTTGGCAACAATATACCATAAGTGACTGTAGCTTGCAATAAGGAAATATCTTACTTGTTTTTCTCTTTAGGCTTTTTTTATAGGCATTAATAACAAATATTTCCTTTCCTCCCTTATTTATTGAATCACACCCCTTCTCATACTATCTTTCCCCCCAAAGGAAGTGAATTAATTCACTACCTCTTGTTATTACAGTTTTTCATTTTAAAAACAAAAAACACTTAAGTTTTCCTTTTCTCTTATTTCAAAGTTATATATTTAGCCACCTGAGTTATGCTATGCGTCAAAATGTTTGTTGTTGTTGTTGTTGTTGGTTTGAGACAGAGTCTCTGTCACCCAGGCTGGAGTGCAGTGGCGCGGTCTTGGCTCACTGCAACCTCCGCCTCTCGGATTCAAACGATTCTCCTGCCTCAGCCTCCAGAGTAGCTGGGACTACAGGTGCGCGCCACCACGCCCGGCTAATTTTTGTATTTTTAGTAGAGACGGGATTTTGCCTTCTTGGCCAGGCTGCTCTCGAACTCCGGGCCTCAGGTGATCCACCCACCTTTGCCTCCCAAAGTGTTGGGATTATAGGCTTGAGCCACTGAGCCCAGCCCTCAAAATGTTTTTGAAGTAATTTTTGTTATAGTTACACAAATGCTTCTTTAGTTCAATGGTACAGGAAATTATGAGCTTGCTTCTATTTTGTATGGCATCAAAAATGTGTAAAGTACTGCAGAATGGGTTACGTATATTACATCTTCTCTTAAAATGATAATTTTTATGGTCCTTTACTTTTTTCCCCCTTCTTTTCCTTTATGAGCTGTGTCCCTAAAAATCACTTTAATTGCACATCTAAGCTTTCTTCTCACCCAAGAAAACCATTTTGAAGTACGTAGGTGATATTACTTTCTTGAGGCTTGATGGACCCTGCTGAGATCAAACCTGTTTACTTTTCTTAAAACTCCTTTTTGTTGGAGAGTCTTAAATATTAGTCTTTGTTAACCTTTCCACAGATTTGTTATTGGGCGGGAAAAACCAGGACAAGTGAGCGAGGTTGCCCAGTTGATAAGCCAGACACTGGAACAGGAGAGGCGCCAGAGAGAGCTGCTGGAACAGCACTATGCCCAGTATGATGCCGACGATGACGAGGTCAGTAGTGCTTGCAAAGATTCTTTTTCCCACATTTTCTAATTCATGAAACTCTCTCTACTGTATAACAGTATGACAGGTTTTATGCAGTTTCTTGAGGAAGGTGTGTCCACATTGAACTAAAATTCTACCTTAGAAAAGAAATACTACTCGCATCTGATATACGCTTAAGAATCAAGTCATGGTATCCTGTTTACAGTATGAAGACTGTGGACACAAATAAGTCTTATCTTTTGCACTATTATAAAGGAAGTCATAGAAACAGAAAAGGATAAAAACACAAAAATGTGAATAATGTCATCTTTATTGGTGGAATTGGGTGATTTTCTCTCTCTGCTTTATATTTTTTCAATCTTTTCCAAATGTTCTACAATAGTATGTAATGCTTTTCCAAAAAATCAGTAAACACACCCATACACAAACAAATATACATAGAAAAGTACTAAAGATTGCTGAGTGTTTCCAGTGTCTTTTTCCCCCAGGAAGAAAAAGTTCTTTGGATCTGCTTACTATGATTTGTGCTAACATAATGCAGAACAAAGCTTTCCACTAGCACATGTTCCATAGAGCAGATACATATTGGAATAATTTTACATCCTGCTTTCTGTAAAAGATCAAGTAAATGAATAGAAGCTAACCCCCAAGTGAAAACAGCTCTCCAGAACCCTTGTGTGCTGTAATATAATACAGATGCTGGTCTATTTCTAATGTCTTTGAAATGTACATTGATATAATGGGACAACATGCTTTATTATAAACACGTTTAAACATTCATGTGTTTCATATTGGTGTGTCAAAAGATCCATCAACAATTTAATTGTAGTATTTTATACTCCATAAACTAGTACATATTCAGGTAAAACAAATATTCTTCATTCCAGCTAATATAACCACAGTGAAACTTCATGTATTCAACCCCTTCTTATCTGAATATATAATTTTTCAGAATTTTGCTTTCTAGCCAGGATATAGATATTAATAAACAGACATTCAAATATTTTCACATATTTTTAATCTGAGATGTTTTAATCCCAATGTATATTAAGATCTCATGAATATGTGGTATAATGAGGATATATTCTCCACTTATAGCAGAAAATTAGAGGTGGTATATCCGTTAACTTTTGATCAAAGAATAATATATTAGAAATCCTTTAAATGAATGAATTAGACTCTTAGAACTTGATTTAATTTATTTTCTTACTTGGTGAGTCCATTTGAAATGGCAAGTATATTTTCATTACACTGAGATATTTTGTATGAAAAATGTTCTCTTGAATTTTCAAACTAAAAAAGGGATTTCCTCAAATATTTTGAACTTGTATCTTACCTGGTTTTCAATTCTTTACATTAGTATTTTGTATTTTATCAGAGACACTGATTTGCTTTTGCTGCAAGCTTATTCTGAGATTGTAGAATCATTTTCTGCAGGTTTGATTTTTGCGTCCTCACTGTGCTAGGATTTTTGGTCTTAGGTTCAGGGGAGTACAGTGACATCAAGTGGTGGAAGGGGACATGGCCAGGCTTTCTAGTCTGTGTGCCTTGGTGTCTTTGGCATGAAAGCACAGGGATTGGGCTAGATCACAAAATTCCTTCCAGCTTCTAATGTTCCATGAATATGAAATAAGACATCAAGTCTAACAAGCAGAGGGGGCAAAGAAAGAAGATAGTCACATTTTTAAGGCACTCCAAGTAAAACATTTAGATCACAGACCACACATTTTCTGCAGGTATTTTGAGGCGCTGATCACATTCATCCCCAAAAGTTGATATAAAATTTTGCTCTTTTTTTTTTTTTACGACACAGGGTCTTGCTCTGCCACCCAGGCTGGAGTGCAGTGGTGCAAGCATAGCTCACTATATCCTTGAGCTCCTGGGCTCAAGCCAACCTCCTGCCTTGCCTCAGCCTCCTGAGTAGCTGGGGCAACAAGCACACAGAACCACATCCTGCTAATTAAAAAAAAAAAATTTTTTTTTTATAGATGAGGTCTCACTATGTTGTCCAGGCCTGTCTTGAACTCCTGGCCTCAAGCAGTCCTCCTGCCTCAGCCTTCCAAAGTGCTGGGATTACAGGTGTGAGCCACCCTACCTGGCCCAGATTTTTCTTTAACTTGATAATTGGAATAGATGGAAAAAGAATAGTTTTTACTTGACATTTATACTTAGGAATGTATCACATCTTAAATGGAAGATTGTTTATAGATTTTTTTTGTTTGCCTGTTTTTGTAAAGTAATCAGAGTTGTCACCTGAGCAGATATTTTCAGGGGCAAGGAAATTAAGTAAATATTCAGTGGCAAGCACTTTGCAAGGTGTCTTTCTTACATGATCTCATTTAATCTTTAATGCAGCCAGAAGAGATTTTCTTTTTTTCCCTAGAAATGCAGCAACTGAGGTTTTTTTCTAGTGGTACATCCAGTAGCTGGCAGAGTTGAAATTGGAATAAAGTCTTGCTGGCTCCAAAGCCTGGACTCTTTGCAACACACTGTGCTGTTTTTGAGTAGCATGTAAGAACACTCCTGCAGACACAGAATAACTGGGTAACAAAAGATGTTAAGAGAATTACTGTTTGCGGTGATGGAGTTTAGGTTCTATGATTCTTTGTTCTGTATTTCTAATAATAGGGAAATCAAGTCTTTGGATAATTATTTTCTCTATGCAACAGTCCATAAGAATCATCTTTATAGAGTTTAAAGAGAAGAATAATTGAGTACTCAAATTTTTTTTAATTAGTTTAGCTTTAAGTTAAACTGTTTTTCTTTCTGCAAGTTGTAGAAGTAAAAACGAGGTGCTTGCTATGTTACTCCAAGTAACTCACTTTATGGAAAAAAGTCAAGGAGACTTCTCCTTTGTATCTGTCTCTCATCCTCTGTGACTTGGGTTTTTTCCCTTTCTTGTATGTTACACACTGCCTCAACAAAACATGCCCAGATAAAACCAACTGTTAATTTTCAGTGCATAGGAGAGATGAAAGCTGTACAAATAGTGAAAATCCACTCCAATGTTAAAACTTCAAATTGTCACTTGATTCAAATTCTTTTTTCTAATGCTGAAAAAATTATTAAATGGATTGATTTGAGTGCTTTTTCCCTATTTTCTATTTACTCTCTGTCTTTCTTTGTGAATGAAGAATAAAATGTCCAAGAGGCATAAAGGAAATGAGAAGAACAAATATTGGATAGCTAATGGATAAATGCTCCTTGAATAATTGAGTTAATTTCATATATAATTGAACAATTTATTGATTAGTATATCTTTGTTAATCAGTCACTTGGTTTTTTTACTTTTATGATTTATAGAATCATCTTGTGATTTCAAAGTTAGAGTTATTTTTATTTGACAGTATCTCCTGTGACATTCCCTGCACCAGCCAGGAAAACCTCCATTTAGATACAGAACAACCAAGTTCATCCAACTGATTTCCAGAGCCAGCTCTTAGTCAGCATTTTCTGCTGAAGGATAGATAGCTTCTGTTTTTGATCAAATCATCCAAAGTTGATTGTAACTTGGAACTTGTCACATTGACAGAGGGTATTTGCTTGCTTGCATTCACTACATGGAAAACATCACAATGGGAGAAATAGATCCTGAAATTATAAACCTACAGTGGAGCTCTAAAAACTATATTGAGAAAGATTAACTTACAATATATTGCTTATGCTTAGACATATCTGTTTCAATGCTTTAGGAAATTATAAGTCATACTCTAGTAGAATTTAAGCTATGTAGATAATTTTCAAACTATTTAAATTTCTGCTTTTTCTGTTTTTTTCTTCCTCTACATCTTTAGAAGGGTTTAAAATAAGCAAACAGCCAATTTTATTTTAATTTGCATCCCTGTTTTTGTTTACTCTCTGTTAAACATTCTGATTAAAAAAAAATGTTAAAATGGCTCTGCCTAAAAGCTGTAGAATAAAAAGGAGGATCCTATTTAAGAAGAGGGAGATGAATATTTGAACAATTGAAAAATTTTAAATGTATATCTGAATATATCTGTGATTCATGATTTAATTTCTGTTTAATCGAAGTATTGATCACTTGTTTTTTTTTTCTTTCTTTCTCTTTTCTTTTTTTTAATAATCTGAAAGGTTGCCATGGAGGATTTCAATAAATCTCTCAGACAATCAGCACTATTTCATGACACTCGGGGGGTATGATAAATTTTTCAACTAGAATTTAACTTTTTAGTAACATTTAATCTCTTGTCATACTCCACCACTATCAGTTTGTAGCCTTTTAGTAGTGAGATGATGTAATTATGGTATATATTTTGTGTAGTGTGTATATATTATGAGTATTTTTTATTTAAGAGCATTATGCCGTTTGAAATGCTGCAGGCTTAGACTGGAAATACAGTATGAACTAGTGCTATATTCCATTTTTGAGTTAGAAAATAGGTATGGTCATTGAAATTAAAATAAAGTATTACACTTTAAAAATTATGATTATTTGGCTTCCTTAAATATTCTTTTAAGATATAGTATTTGTTACATTGTAAAGTCTTAGCTATAGATAGCATTTCAAAGTCTCCTTAGGCAGTAGTTCATAAGAAGGTTAATCATCACTCCAGAAACTGAAGCCCCTTCTATACTGAAGCCCCTAAAATATAATTTAATCTTTCTTTCATAATTTGTTTTCATTACTGGAAATTAATATCATTATAACAATATTATAGCAACTTTTTTTTTAGAATCTTTTAAAGTATTGAATACAGTTTAGAGTAGCTGCCCTCATGGGTATGGTTTTTTATTGCTTGTGTTAGCATGTCATAATTAGAGGCAAAAATATAATGGAAGCTTTGGTTTGCATAAGTATTAAAAGGTATACAATAATATAATATTTATGTTATAAAAAGTGTTAGAGGGATAACATTAAGTTTGACTCATACTGTTTGCCATTCCTAGTTGGAAACAGCTTGTGTGTGTAAACAAGAGAATGCAATTATTATGGTTGGCCTTTTAATAATGTGAATATAATAATGTAAATAGACTTTATACTGTATCTATAATACTGAGAAACCAAGAGTGTGGGCATTTTTTACCAACATGCCGCAATATTGTCTTAGTACTTAACAGTGTGTATTACAGTAAGCACTGGGACTCAGTGTTTTTCAATCCTTTATCAGGCTGCTCTCTGCGGTGGGGGTTAAGCCTTCTTTAATATTTTTTGTCAACCATTTTAGAACACTGTGGCTGAATTGCAAGGAATGTCTGGCAACTGCAATAACAATAACAACTATTTTCTTAAGGTTTGTTTTTTGGTTTAAAGTAATGCTTACCTGTACTTTCCTGCTTCATATGTAAAATTAAATATTCTTTGTGTCTTATTAACTATCTGTATGTTCTGAAGAACTTCTCTAGAGTGATGTGTTTTGTGCATTGAATAATAGTTTGAAAATAATCATTCAAAAAACAATTCTGAAACATAGCATATATTTTAGGTATAGGTTCTGCAATTTAGACTCATTTCTTAATATTTAGCCATGGATATTTTTAACCCCTAACACTTTAAATATCTTGTGATTCAAATTAAAGGGAAAAAGCAAATGTCCAACAGCAGGTCTGTATGATGTTTACACAGTAATAATGCACATAGTGATTTATACTGTCTGTAAATCCAGTACTTTTTTAGAAAATAATCTTTTGATACAAAATTCTTGATTTCTCAAAACACTAAATATATCTTTAAATTATAGTAGTATTTAGTTGCATGATTTATATGGTAGACATATCAAAATATCTAAAATATCAAAATATCTAAAATGATACTATACTTTAAATAATAAAATAATTCTCGTTATGTTTAGTTGCTGTTAATATAGATAGCAGTGCTTAAAAATGGAGGTTGAGTGTATGTAAAAGGCAGGCTGATTTATGGCAATTAGAGGAAACTGAAGAATAAAGGAAATATATTTAACAGCCTGTTCACAGACTCCAATTTGGTCTAATCTCTAAAATCATTAAATTTAATTATATCCTTTGTTTTATGATCCCCAAATCTATAGCAACAGTCATTGTCACCAAAGCCAAGAATCACAAGGTGCTTGGAAAACATTCCGTTTAAGACCCTATCCATATGTGCACTGGCCTAAGTAGTGTATACACATGCTTAACACACACACACACCACACACACACCACACTCACACCACACATACCCATGCACACACACCACACATATCCACACACACACCACACACACACCACACATACCCACACACACCACACACACACACCACACTCACACCACACATACCCACACACACCCACCACACATACCCACAAACACCACACACACACACCACACACACACCACACATGCCCACACACACATCACACACACCACACATACCCTCACAACCACACACACACCACACACACGACAAACACCACCCTCACACACCACACACACCACAAATACATACACACCTCACGCCCCCACACCATACACACACCACATACCCACACACGACACGCACACACCACACATACCCACACACACCACAGACGCACACACCATACACACCACACACACGCCACACACACACACACTCACTCTGATCCCACGGGGTAGACATCCTCCTGTACTTGAAAGATTCTCTCTAGAAATATTCTTCATATATGGAGATGTTATTTTTTAATACACTGTGTACAGACAGAAAGATGGGTAAAGGGGAGATACAGGTTAGGATAGGAACCTTCATCTAAACAATGTCATCTTTTTGCAGATCATTTTCTTTGATTTAAAAAAATTATGATGCAAATGATTTGAATATATTTTCCTTCCCACTGCCACATTGTGATATTATTTACTCATGAGCTAGATACGAAATACCAAATAAACTTTATCAAATTCTTCCATGTAATTAAATTTCTCTGAAAGTGTAGACTTTGTACTCCCTAGAAACAATGCTAGAACAATTCAATATTACAATGATGAAACACAGAGTTTGCAGTGTTAAAGAGATGTCATAGAAACTACCACAAATGACAGTATTTTTCTGACTTTAAAAACATATATTTTATTAGTTGAATAATTTACCAAAACATTCTAAAATGCTAAAAGACATAGTGAGAGACGGATGCCTGGGAAACAGACTTACTTTCCCAGGGGCCATCGGGATCCCCTGGATTTTCTATGCCTTTTGTTTCCTATACCTTTTATGGTGTCTAGTACACTGACTCTGTTGCCCTTGTATGTCAGCTTAATCCTGTGCACCTTTCAGGGTTCCATTTAAGTTTCATCTCCTTCACAAAGCATTGCTGGGCTAGTGGTCTTTTAAAAGTGTGTCAGTAGCACTGTGTGTATCTCTTTCTGTCATTATTTATCCATAAATTCCCCCCATTAGCCTGTAATCTCTTCAATGACAGGTTTCAATGGGCTTTTGCTTGCTACAGCATTTTAATTGTCTTGAGAGTCCATGAATTTGCAAGAAGACCCTATCTCTATCACACTAAACCACAATCTTCTTCATGTAAAACCAGAAAAAAAAACAAACGTGCATATTTTAGCCCTTGAAAACCTTTGGGAATATCAAAATAGCAACTTGGTGACTCACAGTAACATGCCTTCTTTTTAGTCATAACTGAATAAACCTGCAGTTGAAACAGAATAGTCAAAATGGCCTAAATTACAATACTGCATATATGTCCTTATCTCCTTCCCAATGTATTCACTTAGAAATAGCCTTAAATCATAGAAACATATTTTCTATCACAGAAACACATTTCCATTTGCAATAAAAACTGAATGGTGATGTGGCCAAGGACTGAGATGGTAAAGCTGCTTTATCATGGAGTTTTGCCAGGCTTGATAAAAGATGTTAAAAACTCTAATTGATTTCTGAAGTTTCAGTTCCTAAAGGGATTTTTTTAATGGATTTATTGAGATAAATTTGACATAGAGTGAAATGCACAGATCTTAAAGATATAATTTTATATATTATCATTACATAGCTCCATTTAAATATTAACTTTAATGAGTAATAATTTACATACAATAAATGCACTAATTTTAAGTGTATTTAAGTTAATGGTTTGATGAGTAACCACCACCATAATCAAGATACAAGACATTTTTATTACCTCAAATAGTTACCTTAGGGAACTTTGTAGTCACTCTCAGCCTGAGACAACTATTCAGTCTGCTTTTTGAAACTATAAGTTAATTTCTCCAATTCTAGAATGTAATTAGAATAAAAGCACAACATACTTAATTCTAGAATATAATTACAATAAAAGCAGAACATACTTTTCTTGAACTGCTTCTTTCACTCATCATAATGTCATAATTATCGTTAATGCTTAAATGTTATGATGATACTGTAATTGGTATTGCTTTGAGTTATAGTAGACAAAACCCAGGGTCCACCTGATATGGGATGCCTAATTAGGAAACTTCATCATAAAGCTGGAACCCCATGGACTACACCTTTCTGTAAGGTGAAAATAAATCTATCACCCCAGGGACTGCATGGAAAATTGCCAGTGTCAAACCTTGGGTGCTGAGTGGAAAAGCCAAAAAAATTTTTTCTAACAAATTATGATCACAAGTAGCCTTAATTTATGTTACTTTTCAGAAGAAAAAAAAAAGCATATCTTTCCTTGGGCGTTCATCTTTACTCAAAGAAAAAAAGTTAAAGTTTCGAGAAATATGAGTTGACGGTTTCAAGGTACAAAGTTCGCAGGAAAATAAAGCACCATGAGTAAAAAACAGCAGAAAATAGAAGAAAGGGAGGGAGGAAAAGAAAAAAAAGAGAAGAAAGAAAATAAATATAAGGTCAAAATCATTTTATTATCAATTATACCAAACTAGAACAAATATCTCCAATTGCATATAACTTATTCCAGAAGACAGAAAAACAAAAGTAGTACAACTTTGATACCAGGAATGCAGTAAAACTTTGACAGTGTGAGATGTATGAAGTAATAAAACATAACTTTGGTACCAAAAGCTAACAATGATGAGAAAGAAAACTTATAGGTCCATCCCATTCATAAAAACAATGCAAAAAGGTCCTAAACAAAATATTAGCAAACCATATGAAGCAACATATAAAAGAGATAATATATCATAGCTAGGTTGGGTTTAGCCAGGAATGCAAGTATGGTTTAACATTGGAAAATCTGTCACTTTTTATATTTGACATTGTACTGGAAGGCAAGTAAAAGAAATTAAAGAAATAAATTGTAAAGAAATGAAACTGTTATTCACATATGATGAGATTGTCTATTTAAAAAATCTCAAAAAGTACCTATAGATAAGTTATTAGAAATAATATAAAGTTATAGCAACTTTGCTGAATACATAATTAATGTAAAATAAAACATCTATTTCAATATGTCTGCAAACCAGGAGAAAACATAATTTATAAGTTACCATTTACAAGACTTCAAGACATAAATGATAGGGAAGAGCTTCATAGAGAAAAACAAAATTGTATTGAGATATACCAAAGAAAGTGTATAAAATAGGACAAAGAAACCTTGTTCATGGATTGGAAGATTCAGTAACTGTTGATTTGGTGCAATTCTAGTAAAAATAATTTCAAAAGATTTTTAAATGGAATTTGATAAGCTATTGCTAAAATATACATGAAAGGGCAATACATGAGAAATAACCATGGCATTTCACATGCTTTAAAATGGAAATAATTATTATTAAACTTTAATAAATTTATACTTTGGGGCAAAAGAATGGGCAAGTTGGTCAGGGAGCCCAGAAACAGCACTGTAGATATACAGAAACCTGATTTATGACATAGATTACACTCTAGAAGAGTTGAGAAATGTTTGGCTCTTCAATAAAGAGAATATAGTGAAGTTGAGCCCCCATATAATCCATACCCAAAATTCCATCTCAAGTGGACTGACTACGTAAATGTGAAAAGCAAAAATATAAAATTTGGAAGATAGCATAGAAGAATGCCTTTATGACCTCAGTTTTTAGCAATGTTTCTTACAGCTGGGTGTGGTGGCTTATGCCTGTAATCCCAGGACTTTGGGAGGCTGAGGCAGGTGGATCACGAGGTCAGGAGATTGAGACCATCCTGGCTAACACGGTGAAATCCCGTCTTTACTAAAAATGCAAAAAATTAGCCGGGCATGGTGGTGGGTGCCTGTAGTCCCAGCTACTTGGGAGGCTGAGGCAGGAGAATGGCATGAACCTGGGAGGCAGAGCTTGCAGTGAGCCGAGATCACACCACGGCACTCCATCCTGGGCCACAGAGCGAGACTCTGTCTCAAAAAAAAAATAAATAAATAAAAATAAATGTTTCCTAAATGAGCCACTAAGAAAACTGACTACATTAAAACTTAACTTCTGTTCATCGAAAGAATACTTTTAAGACAGTGAAAAGATAAACCATACGCTGGAGTAAAATGTTTAAAAAATACACACAATATTATTCCATTTATATAAAGCATAAAATCATGTCAAAATGACACATAGTTTGGATATAAAAATATAGCAAAACTAAAAAAAAAAAAAAAAAAAAAACTCTGATAAAATTCAGCAGAATTACTCCAGAAGAGTAAGCAACTGAAATGGAATCAAGGAGGCACACACAGAGGACTTCAATGAAAATGAGTGGTTCTGTTCCTTTTCCTTAAATAAGTTGTTAGTTTATTGGTGGTGGTTATATAATTATTCATTATGTTTTAAATTTATTTATTGAATAGGCTTTATGTCAACTCAGTATTTAATATAATTTAAAATCTGCTGTGTATAATGTACTTTGCAGTTATGTGATTATGTGGATATAAAATGAATATGACATAGTTCCTGCTCTCTGAGGACTTACAAAATGGCTTAAAACTCTGTGTCTTCAACTTGCTTCAGTATGAGAATATCATGGTACTTCTTTAAAAGTACAGATTTACCCACCCAGCCTCAGACCTACCAAATCTGAATATGGCTTGCAAGGGTGTCACCTGCGGGTGTTTGTGGGAAGCGGTTACATGCAATCAGTATTGGAGTGGTCCAGTGTAAAGATGCCAGGAATCTTGCAGTAAAGATCTTTGAGTCCTGGTATTGCAAGCACTTTGCAAGAAGGAATGGCTGCCACAAACCACAAGTCAGCCATGTGAGGAAAGGACTAGAATTATTCTCCCTAGAAGGAGATTGTAAGATTGAGACTATGTTTATCATTAATCTATGTAATACCATAATCCATGTAATACCACCAATGACATTTGTGTTGGTTTTACTTTTTTTTGTACTTTAAATTCTGTAACTGTAATTTCTGGTTCTATCTGATGATCTGATAGCATTTTTGCAATTACACGAATCAATTTTTATATAAACACCATATTTTTCAACATTCAATTACTTGTACAATTATAGAATTACTAAAATAATGATAACATGTCTCTTCAGTCACTCATAGCTGCCCTCTTCTATAGAGGAAAATTCAGGGAAATACAAATCTCTTAGTTTCTTCCCACAGTTCTACTGGCATCAGAATAAGTACTTCATTGTTCTCTTGGCAAGTAAAATGAAACTCAAGGAAGACTGCCAGTTTGAATTTGCAGTGTGACATTTGAATTATAGAGGTCCACTTTGGTCTGTCGACCGTTTAGTTCAGGATCTCAGTGGGAAAAAAGATCACTGGTTCCCTTCTCATATAGAATATATTTATCAGGGACTTAAATACAATAGCATTTCTCTCTTTATAAGTAGGTAAATGTATTAAATGGAATTGAATTAAGAATATTAAGACATGGTGAATATATTTTATGCTCACAAGCAGCTTATTTTGCTGTGGAAACAGTAAATATGTATGATAAAAAATTTAAATCCTTTTCAAGGCAACCTGTCAAAAGATCCAATAACGATAGTGTAAAAGAATCATCACAATTTTAAGGCATAAAAAATAAAAATTAATTTGATATTTCTGGTTTCTATTTTTATTTGAAAGGATATTTTTGTTGTTTTTGTTTATTTTCTGTAGCACAAGCAGCTGTGGCAATGAAGGGTGTGTTCAAAAAAATTTTTTTTTTTTTGAGACAGAGTCTTGCTCTGTCGCTCAGGCTGGAGTGCAGTGGCATGATCTCAGCTCACTGCAACCTCCGCCTCCCCGGTTCAAGCGATTCTCCTGCCTCAGCCTCCTCACTAGCTGGGACTACAGGCACATGCCACCATTTGACCCAGCAATCCAATTGCTGGGTATATACCCAAAGGATTATAAATCATTCTACTGTAAAGACACATGCACACGTATGTTTATTGCAGCACTATTCACAATAGCAAAGACTTGGAACCAACCCAAATGCCCACCAATGATAGACTGGATAAAGAAAATGTGGCACATATACACCATGCAGTACTATGCAGTCATAAAAAAGGATGAGTTAATGTCCTTTGCAAGGACATGGTTGAAGCTGGAAACCATCATTCTTAGCAAATTAACACAGGAACAGAAAACCAAACACCGCATGTTCTCACTCATAAGTGTGAGTGGATCAATGAGAACACACGGACACAGGGAGGAGAATATCACACACTGGGGCCCGTCAGAGGGTGGAGGGCTAGGGGAGGGATAGCATTAGGAGAAATACCTAATGTAGATGACCGGTTGATGGGTGCAGCAAACCACCATGGCACATGCATACCTATGTAACAAACCTGCATGTTCTGCACATGTATCCCAGAACTTAAAGTATAAAAAAAAAAAAACATTAAAAATAATAATAAAAAGAAATTGAATGTCTGACCCATGGACAGACAATACCTTTGGCCTGATACTCTCAGTTTGAGATGGGTCAACTTGAACTCATGACCAACAGGATTGGAAGGGTTCAACAAACATTGTTTGTCAAATAGAAATGACAGATTCCAGAAAGCTGCCAACCTGGCTACAAGTGGTAGCCTTCTGTTTGATTAAAACTTTGTCTCTCTGCCTCCTGAAACAGGGAGTTTGGCTTGATGATGTCTTCAATTCATAGGTTTTCTTTAAATCCCTGGTATTGGTTCACTGATAGTTCTGCCAAGTTGTTCAATGTTGTCTTCTGGTTTTTCAATCTCAGCACTAGTTATGCAGACACCAGAATGGACATGGCCACTCTGCTCAATAGGCAGCACTCAAGCCCATTTATATCACTGGCCAATACTCCCCTTGATGAAACATGTTATATTTTTACTAACTCTGGGTCTATTACGACTGACTTGTTGGGTCTGTCACTCCTAAAATTACAGACTGACATATAAAAGTTTGGGATAGATAGGGTTAGGAGTGGTGGCTCACACCTGGAATTTCAATACTTTGGGAGGTTGAGGTGGGAGAATAACTTGAGGCCAGGAGTTCAAGACCAGCCTGGACAACATAGCAAGACGTGTCTCTAAAAAAATAATTTTGTAAAAGCCCGGCATGGCATTGCTGCATGCCTATAGTCCCAACTGCATGGGAAGCTGAGGTGGGAAGATCACTTGAGCCCAGGAGTTTGAAGCTGCAGTGAGCTATGATTGTGCCATTACATTCCAGCCTGGGTGACAGAATGAGTCCCTGTCTCTAATCAATCAATTAAAAAAAAGTTTGGGATGGCAAACAGTGGAAGCAAATTGTGGCAACTGGTCACATTCTTTGAACTGCTTATGTAGCTGCACCTTAGAGGAATTTTTATATATTTAAATGTATTTAAAGAAAGGCTTTTAAAAATAGAATCAGAATCTGCAGTTTAATAGGATCTCCAGGTGATTCTTTTAAAAATATTTTTATTGATGCATAAGATATACATCATTTCAGGGTACATGTGACAATTTAATATATTCATTTAATTTGTAAAGATCAAATCCGTTTACTTGGGATATCCATCACCAAAGAAAGACCTTTGTAAGAAGTCTTTTCTTAAAAATAAAGAAAAAATGAAATCTTTTCTTTAGGATATTTTAAAGAATTTTAAAATATATATATGTATTTAAAGAAAGACCACCATTAGATCATGTAGCCTTCAGATGATTATAGAGATCCCTCCAAAATGAGGCTACTCTTAGTTACTAAAGGGAGCTTTCCTGAGGGATAACTAATTTATTATTTGTATGAGCCCTACAGGCAATTGTCCTTATGATTAAAGTCATTTAATCAGATAAGATCTTATGAAAATGGTTCCTGATTTTAGGTAATGTGGTTATTGGTACCACCTCAGTCCTGGAAGGCAGTCATGTCAGCCTCAACCTTTTGGCCAGGGTTTTTCTGGACAGTAGAATTGCTCTAACCCCTAGACTTCCTCCTTGTATGCCAAGGTTTGAGTCTATGTAATTATTGATCCTGCTGTACCTGGTTCAATACCTTAGGCCAAGTGGAAAGGTCAATACAGAAGCTTAAGGAGAAAGTCCTGGGTTTCTAAGGTATATCCTGATGGTTTATGGGATTTCTTTAACCAGTTGGGTCTGGGAGCCTAGAGAATATAGTTGTTATCAATGCCGAAAGTTAGACTAATTCTGCTGCTTGGAATCCTATTGATAGTAGTATTAATCATATGCTCTGAGATAGACTGAATGGCTTTGGTCCTAGCCACTCTTGGTTACATTGATCAGTGTGGCCAAGGGAATGCCATACTCGGAGAAAATTCACCTCAAGCCAAGACTGTGTAGAAATGAGGGTGGACGTTGTTTGGAGACAATTCCTCCATGGGTTCTCCCTTCTCTGCTTGTTTTTTGAGCAGCAGCAGCACCAGCAGCCTATGTTTCAGATTATCTTTCCAATGATGTTGGTATCATTGGGAGACAGTATGTCCCTTTAGGCAGTGACAGGTTTGTTTATCACTCATTATTCAAAAATTTGAATTTCCTAAGGGCAGAATTCTTAAGATTTTATTGGTTGTACTATCTTTCTTTCTCTTTCTTTTTTTTTTTTTTTTTGGAGACAGAGTTTTGCTCTGTTGCCTAGACTACAGCACATTGATGCAATCTTGGCTGACTGCAATCTCTGCCTTACGGGTTCAAGCGTTTCTCATGCCTCAGCCTCCCAAGTAGCTGGGATTACAGGCCAGTGCCACCATTCCCAGCTAATTTTGTATTTTGTTTTAGTAGAAACAAGGTTTCACCATGTTGGCCAGGCTGGTCTCAAACTCCTGACCTCAAGTGATCCACCCACCTCAGCCTTCCAAAGTGTTGGGATTACAGGTGTGAGCCTCCACGCCCAGCCTGGTTATACATTCTGCTTCATTTTTAAACCGCATTCTTCTGGCAGTTCCATGGATTTGAACTCTGTTTGGAAGCCATTTCTTAACTGTAGACTTAATTTTAAGACTTTGAAAACCATCAAGTTTCTGTTTAAACAGAAAGAATTCCTTTCTGTTTAATAGTACTCTCAGCTGAACTCTATTCTTTTTACATTTTACTACAAGCAGCAAGAAGAAATCAGGCTGCACCTTCACCACTGTGTTTAGAAGTCTACTTAGCCAGATCACCCTGTTCACAAGGAACACTTCCTACTTTCTCGTTAGAGAAGGTGATAATGTTGCTAAGCTTTGTGTCACTACATAATAAGCACGCTCCCTTCCAGTTTCCACTCACAATCTGTGCAGTGCAATTTAGTCTTGCTCCAATACACTCTTCAGAATCCTAGCCTTCGCCCACTGCCTGTTTCCAAGCCACTTCCCTGTTTTTTTCTGTATTTGTTTTGGCAGCATCCCTCTTCAATTTGCTGCATTACAAACTACCACCAAAACTTAGCAACTTAAAAGAAGAAATATTTGTACATTACCGTGTCTGTGGGTCAATTTAGCTGGATGCCTCTGACTCAGAATCTCTCCCAAGGCTGTAAGTGAGGTGTTAGCCAGAGCCGTGGTCATCCAAATGCTCCACTGGGAGAGGATCTGCGTCCATGCTCACTCACAGCTGTTGGCAGGACTGAGAAGACCCACTTCCAGGCTCCCTCATGTGACCTGGCAGGCCTCAGGTCCTCACTGGCTGTTGGCCAGAAACATCAGCTCCTTGGGATGTGGGCCTCTCCCTGCTCATAAGATGGCAACTTGCTTCCCAATAGTGAGGGCTGAGAGAGAGAGAGCAAGAGGACAAAAGAGGCACAAATCACAGTCTTTTTTTTTCAACTAATCTGAGAAGTGGCATTCCATTACTTTTGTTGTATTCTGGTTGTTGGAAATCTGTCATTCAGCCCTCACTCAGTGGGAAGGGATTATACAAGGGCATGAACACCCAGAAAGCAAGGTCATTGGGGTCATTTTGGAGTCTGCCTCCTATAGTAGGAAATAGAGTCCCAGCTTCTGGAGTATACTTTCTAAAAGGAAGGGGATAAAAACTAAAGAATGGATTTGAGTTGTCGGAAAATATTTTATTGGCAAATAATGATTTTTTTGGTCAAAATTTTAGGAAGAATAATTTTTCAGCAATATTACCAATGACCTGACAAGGTGAGAGCCTGAAGGTAAGGAACACAGACGCCATATGAGTAATCTAGAGAAGGATTTTAGATGTTTCTTGAGTGGGTGACTAGACAATGAGAATGGAGTGAAAAATCAGGAAATATTCTTTTTTTTTAATATATATAAACTTTAAGTTCTAGGGTACATGTGCACAATGTGCAGGTTTGTTACATATGTATACATGTGCCATGTTGGTATGCTGCACCCATTAACTCGTCATTTATATTGGGTATATCTCCTAATGCTTTCCCTCCCCCCTCCCCCCACCCACAACAGGCCCCGGTGTGTGATGTTCCCCTTCCTGTGTCCAAGTGTTCTCATTGTTCAATTCCCACCTATGAATGAGAACATGCGGTGTTTGTTTTTTTTGTTCTTGCAACAGTTTACTGAGAATGATGGTTTCCAGCTTCATCCATGTCCCAACAAAGGACATGAGCTCATCCTTTTTTATGGCTGCATAGTATTCCATGGTGTATATGTGCCACATTTTCTTAATCCACTCTATCATTGTTGGACATTTGGGTTGGTTCCAAGTCCTTGCTATTGTGAATAGTGCCACAATAAACATACGTGTGCATGTGTCTTTATAGCAGCATGATTTATAATCCTTTGGGTATATACCCAGTAATGGGATTGCTGGGTCAAATGGTATTTCTAGTTCTAGATCCTTGAGGAATCGCCACACTGTCTTCCACAATGGTTGAACTAGTTTACAGTCCCACCAACAGTGTAAAAGTGTTCCTATTTCTCCACATCCTCTCCAGCACCTTTTGTTTCCTGACTTTTTAATGATCGCCATTCTAACTGGCATGAGATGGTATCTCATTGTGGTTTTGATTTGCATTTCTCTGATGGCCAGTGATGATGAGCATTTTTTCATATGTCTGTTGGCTGCATAAATGTCTACTTTTGAGAAGTGTATGTTCATATCCTTCGCCCACTTTTTGATGGGGTTGTTTGTTTTTTTCTTGTAAATTTGTTTCAGTTCTTTGTAGATTCTGGATATTAGCCCTTTGTCAGATGAGTAGATTGCAAAAATTTTCTCCCATTCTGTAGGTTGCCTGTTCACTCTGATGGTAGTTTCTTTTGCTGTGAAGAAGCCCTTTAATTTAATTAGATCCCATTTGTCAATTTTGGCTTTTGTTGCCATTGCTTTTGGTGTATTAGACATGAAGTCCTTGCCCATGCCTATGTTCTGAATGGTATTGCCTAGGTTTTCCTCTAGGGTTTTTATGGTTTTAGGTCTAACATTTAAGTCTTTAATCCATCTTGAATGAATTTTTGTATAAGGTATAAGGAAGGGATCCAGTTTCAGCTTTCTACATATGGCTAGCCAGTTTTCCATTTATTAAATAGGGAATCCTTTCCCCATTGCTTGTTTTTGTCAGGTTTATCAAAGATCAGATGGTTGTAGATGTGTGGTATTATTTCTGAGGGCTCTGTTCTGTTCCATTGGTCTATATGTCTGTTTTGGCACCAGTACCATGCTGTTTTGGTTACTGTAGCCTTGTAGTATAGTTTGAAGTCAGGTAGCATGATGCCTCCAGCTTTCTTCTTTTGGCTTAGGATTGTCTTGGCAATGCAGGCTCTTTTTTGGTTCCGTATGAACTTTAGAGTAGTTTTTTCCAGTTCTGTGAAGAAAGTCATTGATAGCTTGATGGGGATGGCATTGAATCTATAAATTACCTTGGGCAGTATGGCCATTTTCACGATATTGATTCTACCTATCCATGAGCATGGAATGTTCTTCCATTTGTTTGTATCCTCTTTTATTTCGTTGAGCAGTGGTTTGTAGTTCTCCTTGGGGAGGTCCTTCACATCCCTTGTAAGTTGGGATTCCTAGGTATTTTATTCTCTTTGAACCAATTGTGAAAGGGAGTTCACTCATGATTTGGCTCTCTGTTTGTCTGTTATTGGTGTATAAGAATGCTTGTGATTTTTGCACATTGGTTTTGTATCCTGAGACTTTGCTGAAGTTGTTTATCAGCTTAAGGAGATTTTGGGCTGAGACGATGGGGTTTTCTAAATATACAATAATGTCATCTGCAAACAGGGACAATTTGACTTCCTCTTTTCCTCATTGAATACCCTTTATTTCTTTCTCCTGCCTGATTGCCCTGGCCAGAACTTCCAACACTATGTTGAATAGGAGTGGTGAGAGAGGGCATCCCTGTCTTGTGCCAGTTTTCAAAGGGAAGGCTTCCAGTTTTGGGCCATTCAGTATGATATTGGCTGTGGGTTTGTCATAAATAGCTCTTATTATTTTGAGATATGTCCCAACAATACCTAATTCATTGAGAGTTTTTAGCATGAAGCGCTGTTGAATTTTGTCAAAGGCCTTTTCTGCATCTATTGAGATAATCATGTGGTTTTTGTCTTTGGTTCTGTTTACATGCTGGATTACGTTTATTGATTTGCGTGTGAGGAACCAGCCTTGCATCCCAGTGATGAAGCCCACTTGATCATGGTGGATAAGCTTTTTGATGTGCTGCTGGATTTGGTTTGCCAATATTTTATTGAGGATATTCACATCAATGTTCATCAGGGATATTGGTCTAAAATTCTCTTTTTTTTTGTTGTGTCTCTGCCAGGCTTTGGCATCAGGATGATGCTGGCCTCATAAAATGAGTTAGGGAGGATTCCCTCTTTTTCTATTGATTGGAATAGTTTCAGAAGGAATGGTACCAGCTCCTCCTTGTACCTCTGGTAGAATTCAGCTGTGAATCCGTCTGGTCCTGGACTTTTTTTGGTTGGTAGGCTCTTAATTATTGCCTCAATTTCAGAGCCTGTTATTGGTATATTCAGAGATTCAACTTCTTCCTGGTTTAGTCTTAGGAGAGTGTATGTGTCTGGGAATTTATCCATTTCTTCTAGATTTTCTAGTTTATTTGCGTAGATGTGTTTATAGTATTCTGTGATGGTAGTTTGTATTTCTGTGGGATCAGTGGTGATATCCCCTTTATCATTTCTAATTGCATCTATTTGATTCTTCTCTCTTTTATTTGTTATTAGTCTTGCTATCAGTCTATCAATTTTGTTGATCTTTTCAAACAACCAGCTCCTGGATTCACGGATTTTTTGAAGGGTTTTTTGTGTCTCTATCTCCTTCAGTTCCACTCTGATCTTAGTGATTTCTTGTCTTCTGCTAGCTTTTGAATGTGTTTGCTCTTGCTTCTCTAGTTCTTTTAATTGTGATGTTAGGGTGTCAATTTTCTATCTTTCCTGCTTTCTCTTGTGGGCATTTAGTGCTATAAATTTCCTTCTACACACTGCAAATGTGTCCCAGAGATTCTGGTATGTAGTGTCTTTGTTCTCATTGGTTTCAAAGAACATCATTATTTCTGCCTTCACTTCCTTACGTACCCAGTAGTCATTCAGGAGCAGCTTGTTCAGTTTCCATGTAGTTGAGCGATTTTGAGTGAGTTTCTTAATCCTGAGTGCTAGTTTGATTGCAGTGTGGTCTGAGAGACAGTTTGTTATAATTTCTGTTCTTTTCCATTTGCTCAGGAGGGCTTTACTTCCAACTATGTGGTCAATTTTGGAATAAGTGCGATGTGGTGCTGAGAAGAATGTATATTCTGTTGATTTGGGGTGGAGAGTTCTGTAGATGTCTATTAGGTTCTCTTGGTGCAGAGCTGAGTTCAATTCCTGGATATCCTTGTTAACTTTCTGTCTCGTTGATCTGTCTAATGTTGACAGTGGGGTGTTAAAGTCTCCCATTATTATTGTGTGGGAGTCTAAGTCTCTTTGTAGATCTCTAAGGACTTGCTTTATGAATCTGGGTGCTCCTGTATTGGGTGCATATATATTTAGGATAGTTAGCTCTTCTTGTTGAATTGATCCCTTTACCATTATGTAATGGCCTTCTTTGTCTCTTTTGATCTTTGCTGGTTTAAAGTCTGTTTTATCAGAGACTAGGATTGCAACCCCTGCCTTTTTTTGTTTTCCTTTTGCTTAGTGGATCTTCCTCCATCCCTTTGTTTTGAGCCTATGTGTGTCTCTGCACATGAGATGGGTTTCCTGAATACAGCACACTGATGGGTCTTGACTCTTTATCCAATTTGCCAGTCTGTGTCTTTTAATTGGAGCATTTAGCCCATTTACATTTAAGGTTAATATTGTTATGTGTGAATTTGATCCTGTCATTATGATGTTAGCTGGTTATTTTGCTCGTTAGTTGATGCAGTTTCTTCTTAGCCTCGATGGTCTTTACAATTTGTCATGCTTTTGCAGTGGGTGGTACTGGTTGTTCCTTTCCATGTTTAATGCTTCCTTCAGGAGCTCTTGTAGGGCAGGTCTGGTGGTGACAGAATCTCTCAGCATTTGCTTGTCTGTAAAGGATTTTATTTCTCCTTCACTTATGAAGCTTAGTTTGGCTGGATATGAAATTCTGGGTTTAAAATTCTTTTCTTTAAGAATGCTGAATATTGGCCCCCACTCTCTTCTGGCTTGTAGAGTTTCTGCTGAGAGATCCGCTGTTAGTCTGGTGGGTTGCCCTTTGTGGGTAACCCGATGTTTCTCTCTGGCTGCCCTTAACATTTTTTCCTTCATTTCAACTTTGGTGAATTTGACAATTATGTGTCTTGGAGTTGCTCTTCTCAAGGAGTATCTTTGTGGCGTTCTCTGTATTTCCTGAATTTGAATGTTGGCCTGCCTTGCTAGATTGGGGAAGTTTTCCTGGATAATATCCTACAGAGTGTTTTCCAACTTGGTTCCATTCTCCCTGTCACTTTCAGATAAAATCAGGAAATATTCTGATAACAAAAGATTGAAAAGAAAATTTTGAATGAGTTGATAAGTGGGAGAAAAAAATAAATATATATGCTGGGCCAGGCATCATTTTGGATATTTTGCATATTTCATTTCTTCGAATCCTCTCAATATCCTATGAGATTGGTATCTTTTACACCATTTTATAGAAGAGACCACAAAAGATACAAACTAAATGACTTACTTACTGTTATGCAACTGGGACATTAGGATTTTTCTCTCTTCTGGCCCTCATCTCTCCAACCCCAAATGCTTTTTTTGTTGCATTAGTTTATGGTGTTGTCCTGGAGAAATAAGGGATGGTGAAAACAATCATAATCATAACGTCATGCAGTCAGTTAGCATATTCTAGGCACTGTGGTTAACTCTTTCATATCACTACAATGAATTCTCATAGCAACCTCTTTAAATGAAGAAGGTGCTGTTATTTCCATTTTATAGATGAGGAAACAACATTCAAAGAGACTAAGTGTACTAACATTATAAAATTAGGACACACAGGAGTCACTGACAAAAAAATGGAAAGAGAGATGCTTCGGCAGAGAGAGGGATGTTTTTGCCGAAAGGCCTCTGGATGGTTGGTGCAGATTTAGGAATTTTAAACATTAAAATGTGAGTTTGACGTTTTCCTCCTCCAGGGAAGAAGCAGCTCTCCTTTATTCTCTCACAGAAGTGCGTCTGAAAATACATAGCACCAAATTCAAATCCGGTAAACAAATTCCATCAAAAACTGCATAATTAAGGCTATTTTTGTGATTAGCGCCATTTAGTTTCCCTGAATTTACCAGAGCAAACATTGCTACAGCAAAAATTACTGCTAATGGTTGAACCTAACAACAAGAGAAAATCCCCAGAAGGGTCATTTAGGCCCCAGCTGCAGCTGTGTTTCACTATATTTCATCCTGGAAAGCTGAGATTAACAGGAAAATCAGGCTCTACTGTGCTATGCAGATGTGGCTACAACTATCTGAATTTATTCAGCAAACATTTGTTCAGTGCCCACTATATGCCAAGCAATGTACTAGCCACACCGGGATTGCAGGGATAAATTGTACCTGGCACTCTCTAGGAATGTTCAGATGAAAGAAGTTGATGAGAGAAGGCAGATATAGAAACATCAAAGCATTATGAGTGATGTCAGCTATACAGTGGGAGCATAAAGGAGTGAATTAGGAGAGTCTTAAGGGCAGCAGCTTCACAGGATGTTCTCATGTACACGGTTATTCATCTTGAATCCTTGGGGCAGGTTGGGGCCAGTAAATGAGGAGGACAGAGGCATGGAAGTTTTCTTGGGCTTGGGTAGAAGCTGGTGCCTACCCCAAACTGGGAATATAAGTAGAGGAACAGGTATATATAGAGGAAAGGAAAAGTTTTACTTCAGAAATGACCAATTTGCTTATAAAAGATTCATGTGTTGAGGTCTTCTAGGAACTTACATTTATGAGACCAAAGTTTAGCAAATGTGGTTACAAGATACAGATGAGAAAATCGTTAGCATTTTGCTATTGCAGTATTTTGACACCAGCAGCAGCAACAATAGCGGTCACTCGTTTTGAGCACCTACCATGTGCCAGACCTTGTGTTAAATACATAGGCACCATCTAACTTAATCTTATGACAGCTTTCTTATGCTAAGGAACTGTTTTGTCCTTACTTTATAGATGAAAAGATTAAAGCTTAGATATAGACGCTAATTCCCAATGTCTCAGGACCAGGACTTGAACACAGTTCTACGTGACTTCAAAACCAAAATCCTTTCATTGATCCCCACTTAACCAACTCCCCAATATAACAGATACTCTCTGTTCCTTCTGCAAAACCTAGACTGATATCTATAGCTCTCATGAGTGTCCCAGGCTCTAGTATGTCTACATACGTCTCCCACTAGTCAAAAGTTATATGTTTACCAAGAGACACAACCTGTTGGTTGTACTTGTTACTATAATTATGTTATTTTATAAAATATTAAGTGATGTAATATGTGTGTAAATGAAGTTGTTGTATCTATGAAAACTAAATACAGTGCTTTGGGAAGATTTAATAAAGACTGGCAGCTCAAGAAAATTAGGTATGAGAAGGAAATATAAAAGAGGGGAAAACCATAAAATTCTATAGAAATTTTGCATTCATTTTGCCTTGGAAGGATCTTTTTCATCTGTTTTAAAGATGCTACAGTAATTTCATACACTATATGTTATGGTTGTAGTTTATACAAGAGTGCATAAAATGTCAGTCAGCAGACCCATAAGCCAAGAGGAAGACTTGGCCCTGCAATTAAAAGATGAGCAAATAAATGAATACTTCTGTGATTTAAGTTAACATAAAATGGTATGCATATGTGTGTGTGTTCGTTTGTTTGTCAGCGATTCCTCTCTGTATTGCAATTAACCCACAAGTACTGCTCCCGATTCTTTCAAAGGGGAATTCTATATTCTTGTCCAGGGTAAGCATATTATGAGAGAAGAGAAGAGGACAAGAACTTTGGAGCCCACTATACAGAGGTGCAAGTCTTCAAAGTGAATTCAGTGATAATGTTTAAAGCCGTGGAAGGTGAATTTCAATACAACAGGATTATCCACCCAGGTTTGGGGATGGGATCATTAAAAAATATATTCCCAATTTTTTTTTCTGCAGAACTTTAGTTTCTGTAGACTGGAAGCATCATAGCATAAAAGAAGGAGCATGGGCTTTAAAATATGTTGAATGCAGCTTCAACAACTTAATTAATTGACCTTAGGTATGGTCTCTGAGTCTCAGTTTCCTCAAATTAAGATAGTATGGTAACACCCATATCCCATAGTTGTTGAGGAATGTCCAATGCTGGGCACACAGTAAGTTGCAAAAGTATTGCTCTTCATTTTTTACCCCTTTGTGTGGGGCTACTAAAAATATCATATATTAATCAGAAAGGTAGGTAAAGACATGAAAGGGAAAATTTACTATCTCTGTCAGTTTTTTACCCAAAAAACTGTTACTGCCACATTTGAAGTGGATTTGCGTGTTAGGACAAAGAATTTCAAGAGTCTCTGGTTACTTGAAAGATTTTTAATTTGAACAGAAATAGAGCTAGATACCAATGGAAATACTTTGTTATAGTAATTTTGGGTTTTGTTGGTTTTGGGTTTTTTTGGTACAACATTGTTCATCTTCCTTTGTAAATGGCAGATTTAATCCAATCTAATTTTGCGGTTTACAACATTCTGCTGACACATTCCATGTTACTTATTTTATTTGCAGTGTAACCACAAAAATAATTTCCATTTTCAATAAAGATAAAATATTAGAAGAACCTATTTTTCTTAGTCCACTAAGTGTAACTTTTTTATTTCCAGGTATTTATGAGATTCTGTAGTAAATGTATCATCCTAAAGCCTATTTAAGGTTGGAATGGCAAATGATCAGCAAGAGAGAGTTATAACATAATGTTTTAAACATGCCATCCTTAGCCTATAATAAGTAATAAGTAGAATCAAGACAGCAAAAGACATATTTGTCCTCAGGATGCTTATAAGGCTAATTGGAGAAAGAAGGCATTAGTAAATGAAAAGATGAAATGAGTGATAAGAATTTTAACAGTACTGCAGGTAATTTGGGTATTGGGAAGGAGAGGATACTGGCAAAGTCCACAAAAGAATCAAGAAGAACGCTTAACAACGTATGTTTATTAAGATAATTTTCATAATGAAAGTGTATATGGATGACAAAGTGCAGCTAAAAGGTAAGAATTGCATATGTTATGCATACCCTAATCCTGTTATTCACAGTAAGGTTGTTAGTATAATATACTACTGCCTTCTTAACAAGTGACCACAGTTCATTTTCTTGATATTGAAAATCTCCTTAGGAAGTTCTGTCTATTACCAAGTTAATGCGTTGGCATTCTTGGATTTATTCTTTTAAAAATATTTGCTGAGATCCTGTTATATGTCAGGTCCCATCCTAGGCACATATTTATATTAATTCTCTCACATGTAGTGAACAAGTATTTATTTTCAAGCTAGCAAAAGGAAATCAAATTGTTCATTTCAACTCATGTTTAAAACGTGCCACATTGTTAGGGCTTAGTCATACTTTAAATTTAGCATAAGAGTTTCTTGAGTCATTCAATGCTGTATATAGTGAGTTCTATATACCTGGTTTAAGCCTTCATAATAAAGGCTTGGGTTTTGCTGCCATTTGTAATGATAGGGTTAAAAACAAGTACACAGTTTTATACCTCTATATGAAAATTTTTCAGCAAGGTATCTTGAGATTATTTACTTGCCAGTCTTGCTGCATTCCTATTAATTAACTTCACTGGAATTTACCAAGTATTTGTTGGTTCTAGAAATGGGTATGAACAGGAGATGAATTGATTCAAGAATACAAAAGAAAAAAAAAAGCCAAATCTGGAATTAGAGTTTTTTAAGATTTGTAGGATCTCATTGTGCTAATAAATAAGTACAAGCTATCTGACCAACCAGCTCCCATTCTTCAGCTACCTTCACCTGCCAGTGGCAAAGACACTTGAATTGGTATTTATAGTTTAGACATTTTCAGACTGATTTCTACAGAGATCTAGAGTTCCAGGTACTCAGGAGATACATAGGATCCAACTGGAGGCCACCAACCTCTTTTCCTTTCAGTCAAATCACCTGTGATTATATTTGGGGAAAGTAAAGGTTCCAACTAACCTGTAACCAGTTTGGAAAATCATTGCTCCACATGGAATATTCTGAGCTTACTTCTGTACACAGATGCCACCAATGTCAAGTTCTCCATGATAATAGCCTCTGTGTGGGGAGGTAGAGTGTGAAGGATGCTGTGGCAGTGTGTTCATCATGGTTGATGACCTTCAAATTCCTTACTAGAAACTGTGTCTACTTTCAGGCTCTGCAATTTAGAGAAATGTGGAAAAGTTGGAGAGAAATCAGAGCACAACCACAAAGACAATTACAGCAAATTACCTTGGAGGCAACTAGAATTATTTTATTTGAAAAAGAGAAATCTGAAGGCAATTTAATAATGGTCTTTCAGACATTGGGAATTATTAGATTGGGATTAAGGACCAGATTTCCTTCACGTGCAAACATAGGTGGGGGGAAAGGGGAAGTGAGGGGCTCCTGCTTTGGCAGGAAGAATATAATACAGAATCAAAAGAAAAAAAAACAGCAATCAGATGCTGAGCCTATTTACTCAAAGGAATAGATCATTCAGTACACCGTTCATGGAAGTTTTTTAAAGGCAATATGAATTCCTGTCTCTGTTTTATGTGTTAGATAACGTGCTACCTGAAGGAACAGGGATGAGTTCAATGAACTTTGTTTTTTTAACCCTGTCAGTGATTTATCTTTAAATTATATCATAAGGTATAGATTTCAAACAATTATTTTGAATTACAGTATCATAGCTTGATGCTGCCAGGAGAGGATCTACTTTCTAATAAAGTTAAGGAAGTTAGTGGCAAAGAGGAATGTTTATTCCAGGGGTCAGGAACTCAGATACCTACAGGGACAGGTGGGTATTACAAAGGAGTGAAGCTAACAATATAGAACTATATGACATTAGAAAAATTGTGGGGTATTAGAAAGCATATAACTCTTCTAAAAGGGGCAACCACTACTAACTGGCCAATTGTTATCATGTCCCAATATGCCTAATATTAACGGATGCTTGGCTTTCTCAAGGAAAGCTGGAAATCTAGAACTTTATGTGAAACATTTTTCTCACATTGACAGAATACTCAGATTTGTAAATGTGCTAGGCAGGCAAAACAATACACTTGGTGCAGGCTGCAAGTTAGAAACCTTTGGTTTATTCTTTAGCTCACTAGTTCACCACAATAATTAACAAGCAAACAAAACAGAACTGTTTGAACTCTAACGCTTAGGAGAATTAATCAGCTAAACCTTTGCAAGGCTTAATTAAGGTCCCTTCCAACTCTGTGATTCATTAAACTCCCCTTCCCTTTTCATTGCTCTCAGTATTGGGTGGCGTATTCACAAAGAGAATTTAAAGAAATGACTTATTTCCCTCAGCAACATAATTTTATTTGGTAAAATAATCAAATACTCAGAAAAAACAACTCTTGTTTCTGTATTAAAGATGCCACTGATACTAGTAGATTTTTAGAAACGCACTTGTATATGGCATAGGTTTGTCACTTTGGATCTTTAAACTAACATTTGTTTATAACATTGGCTGCATGAGGCATGCTTGGCTGAAAAACCTACTTACACTTTTACCATTTGGGTACATGTCTTACTTGTCTTTTATAAAATATTTTCAAATAACTCACCTCCACCTGGGGTAAGGACAGCTGGATTTCTGAAATCCCCTTCCTTTCAGACAGGAGAATATGCCACAGATGAAGAAGAAGATGAGGTAGGACCTGTCCTTCCTGGCAGCGACATGGCCATTGAAGTCTTTGAGCTGCCTGAGAATGAGGACATGTTTTCCCCATCAGAACTGGACACAAGCAAGCTCAGTCACAAGTTCAAAGAGGTATGCCACTAAGCTGCAAAATATTTCTTTATGCCTGTCCATTTCATTAAGTATATATTTCTGTTCAAATAATATATTAAGAATAATCAGTTTGCAAATCAAAGCTTTTTAATAACAGGTTGTCTTGAGTCTCATTGAATTTCAAGTAGAATTTAAGTAGATCTCGTTCCACGGTCATTGATTTAAACGCTTATTTGTCATAGTGACATACCTGTAGCCCATAATTTCAAGCAGTAACTTAAATGTGCAGTTTTATGATGTTTAAGTTATATTTTTTCAGTTTTACAGAAGTTTTGGTAACTAGTGATAAGCTTTTCTCTCAAGGCAGAGACTTCCTAAAAAGTCTCTTTTTGTCTTTCTGTTCATGAAATAGGTTTCTAATAAGCATCAGATGGCATACCCAAAGGGTTTACTTGAAGAGAGTTTAATACACAGACTTTGAACAGAGTTAATAGTACTAACAAGGGGTGGTGAAGTGCACAGGGACTGGCAACAGCAGGAGGCTGTTACCATCAACATCTGCAGCTTTATAAGATGCACAGCCACTGGTAAAAGCTGCATCCTTGGGGCAAGGGTAAGAATACACCCTGACTCTGCTTTCCTTTTCTGCTGATGCTTCCAAACCCAGGCAAGGGAGTATGGTGATGCAGTCTCAGAGTTTGAAGAGATCAGACTCCTGAGGCAATGTGCTCTCAGAGAAGGGCCAAGAATAGAACCTTGGGAGAGGAAATGTGGATAACTCTTCCAAAGTAGCTTCTCAGAACCATGACACATGTAAAACAGAAACAGTGATTAATAGGTCCCAAAGCAGTTTATCTATCCTTCATTGTTTTGGAAGAGTATCCTCCATCATTGAAGAGAAATGTGTCATTATTTACAACTTGTTCATTTCTTCTAAAGACTTTCTAAATTAACTGATATCTTCAAACCAAAGAGCAATGCAGAAAAAGAAAAGGTCTGCAGAAAGTGGCTGAGTGGGAGAAAGAGGTGTAATCTAGTTACCTGTTTCTCTGCAGCCCTTATTTGGCCAAAGAATATAAGTTATCAAGAAAAGTAGGTAGATGACTTGTTCTCTAAGAATATTTTAACTCACAACCCAACTTTAACAAATATTGAAGGCAGTGAGATCAAAATAGTATTCCCTGGCGAAAGCCTATAATACAGCTCTTTCATTTTACCAGTTGAGTATGACCCCTAGTCTTTGGTAGATAATTGAGCTGGAAGAAGGGTCCACATTCTTTTATGGGAGGTGAAGAGCCTACAGGGCACAGATAATATATGGAAAGTTATATCTTCCATTTTCAAAATTGAGCTAAGGACTCAAAGTTCCATAAATATTGTTTTAAGCATGCACCATTGTGTAGAGTGATCTAGACCAGGGGTTAGCAAATTATGATACATTGTCCAAATCTGGGCTACTTTTTATAAATAAAGTTTTATTTGAACACAAGCATGCCCATCTCTTTATTGTTTGTGGCTGATAACATACTACAACAGCAAAGTTGAGTAGTTGCAATAGAGACTGTATGGCCTGCAAATCCTAAATTATTTGCTTTCTGGCCCTTTACTGAAAAATGTTACTGACCCTGGTGTAGACTGCTGTGTGATCTCGATTCATTCTGTGTAATGTGGCTGATTTATTTTTAGCTTGAGTAACCAGATCTGTAACTTTATTTTAGTTTTGGTTTCTAAGAATTGGAATTTCATCCTCACCTCAATAACAGGCAATATCACATCGTTCCACTTAACAATTCTTTTATCCTCTTTTGTTTTACATTTAACATTAATATATTCATTTCTTCAGAATATTGCCCCTGTGTATCACCTGTGTGGCACTCTTTTGTGACATTTGTATCTTGTACACTGTCACTATCATAGTCTTAAATTTCTTTATGTGATTAATATACATGTCCAAATATTATATAGCACTGGGCACTTTTCACAGGATCATCCACAAAACTTGGGGTGAGTGTGAAGGATCATATTGTATTAGAGTCTTTACAAAGTTTCATGTTACAGGATTGTCTTAATTATTTTAAGCAAAAGTATGTGTTTTACTACTCGGGCAAAATACATTAGACTGACATTATCTCAATCAGTCATACTTTGGGCCTGTTTTGTATCTATCTTCCTGCTAAACTCAAAGCTCGCATGTTTTTGCTTATTATCATGTCCTCAGTCTTTGTACAATTCTTGGCATATAGTTAGTGGTGAAATATTTATGGAATGAATGGTGTCAAACATATACTGGAATTTGTTGTATGATATAAGACATGTACCCAATTTAATGTTTCCAAATAGCCAACAAAAGTTGGCTAGCCCTTTTATTAAATGCTCCTTTACCAATTTCCCTTTGGTGGGAGGGCCAACATTATTATCTAAAGAATTTGTGCCTTTACCTTCTGAACTGCTTATGGCTTCATAGTCTGCTCCATCTTCTCATTTTTCTTCAGTGCAATACTATTAGAATATACGTCAATATTGATGAGCTAAGTCGCATCATTCCAACTTTTCAAAAATGCCTTTATTTTTCAACTTATTCAAGAAAATATTTGAATCACTTTATAAATACCCTTGAAAAATACGCTGCATTTTTTGTTGTAATTATGTTAAACTAGTAAATTTCTAGAGAACTGGCATTTTAAAAATCACATCGAATCTTTTAATCCAAGTTCATGGAATATATTTGTTTAATTCAAGCCTTTTTTCTCATCCTCCCTAAAATTTTATCGTGCCCTTTATTCATTATATAAGTCACATACATACATAAGTTACCTAAGTATCGAGCTATAAGTAACAGGACATATTACTGGAGTGGGTTAAATAAAAGCTGCCACATGGCCAGTCATGCTGGCTCACATCTATAATCTTAGTTCTTTGGGAGGCTGAGGTGGGAAAATGGCTTGAGCTCAGGAGTTCAAAGTTACAATGAGCAATGAAGGTTGCCACAGCACTCCAGCCTGAGTGACAGAACCACACAAGACCCCATCTCAAATAAACAAAAACTGGGAGGATTAAGATGGCAGGTAGGAGGGAGAACTGCTGCAGCTTCTGCTTGGTTGGACAGAACAGCATGTGGAGACTCACATTGTGAACTTTTGCCCCAAGAACTACCACAGGAAAATACCAGGAAAGCCAAGAGAATCCACAGACCTTTTGAAGGAACTGGATCACCGCTGCAGGCTCCCTAAAATGCCAAAAAAGTGTGAGTCTGCTTGCTTTCTCAACAGGGAAGCTCGTGATTTAGGGTGAGTTCTCAGCCCTGGTCATAAGCTGCCTGGAAATAGACTTGGTGCTGTTGTGGAGGGCACGGTGGGAGTGAGACTGGCCTTTAGGACTCTGGGCTGCGTGGGAGCAGAGTGAGGCCTATGACTTCCGGCTTTCCCCCACTTCCCTGGTGGCGTATATGACTCATCAGAGGCAGCCATAATCCCCCTGGGAATATAACTCCATTGGACTGGGAACCACAACCTCCTCCCCCACAGCAGCCATAGCAAGCCCCACCAAAGGAGAGACTGAGCTAAGACACTCCTGTCCCTCCCCCAACCTGGTGGTCTTACTCTACCCACCCTGGTAGCTGAAGACAAAGGTTATAATCTCTTGGGAGCTCTGTGGCCCTGCTGACTGCCTGAGAAACCTGAATACTTGACCAGGTGTTCCTAGGGCAAATTTGCATCCTCCCTATAGGACCCCAGCTCATGTGCTCTTGAAAGTGCCAACTCCTGGCTGGAATCCAACCAATACAAGACCAGCACACTCAATAAAAATACAACCAAGGACCCTGCAGAGTCCACTTCACTCCCTTGCTACCTCCATCAAAGCAGGTGCTGGTATCCATGGCTACAAGACCTGAAGATGAATCACATCACAGTACTCTTTGCAGATACTCCCAAGTACCAGTGCAGAGCCTGGTAGCTCCACTGGGTGCTAGATCCAGAAAAGCAAAAATAATCACTACATTTCAGCTCTCAGGAAACCCCATTCCTAGGGTAAGGGAGAGAACACCAAATCAAGGCAGCACACTGTGGGACAAAAGAATCTGAACAGTAGCCCTTGAATCCCAGATCTTCCCTCTGATGTAGTCTATCCAAATGAGAAGGAATCAGAAAAACAATTCTGGTATATGACAAAACAAGGTTCTTTAACACCCCCAAAAGATCATACCAGTTAGCCAGCAATGGATCCAAACCAAGATGAAATCTCTGAATTGCCAGAAAAATATTTTAGAAGGTCAATTATTAAGCTAATCAAGGAGGCACCAGAGGAAGGTGAAGTCCAACTTAAAGACATCAAAAACATAATACAAGAAATGAAAAAAGTTTTTCAGTGAAATAGATAGCATAAATAAAAAAACAGTCACAACTTCTGGAAATCAAGGACACACACAAATGCAAAATGCACTGGAAGGTCTCAGCAGTAGAATCAAACAAGCAGAAGAAAGAACTTGAAGACAAGGCTTTCAAATTAACCCAGTCCACCAAAGACAAATAAAAAAGAATTTTAAAAAATGAGTAAAGCCTCCAAGAAGTTTGGGACTATGTTAAATGTCCAAACTAAAAATAATTAGTGTTCCTGAGGAAGGAGAGAAATCTAAAAGTTTGGAAAACGGATATTTGAGGGAATAATTGAGGAAAACCTCCCCAAAACAAAGAGAAACAAATCCTCGAAATACACCAAAATAGAACCTTCTTCAAGCATAAATCTCACAGGACCTTTATAACAATAGCACAATAGAAAAAAAGGTATTCAAGCAATAAATAGCACAATGAGTAGAATAGTACCTCACATGTCAATACTAACATTGAATGTAAATGGCCTAAATACTCCACCTAAAAGATACAGAATGGCAGAATGGATAAGAATTCACCAATCAAGTTTCTGCTGTCTTCAGGAAACTCACCTAACACGTAAGGACTCACATAAACTTAAGGTAAAGGGGTGGAAAAAGATACCGTATGCAAATGGACACCAAAAGCAAGTAGGAGTAGCTATTCTTAGACAAAACAAACTAAAGCAACAGCAGTTAAAAAAAGACAAAGAGAGAAATTATATAATGATAAAAGGACTAGTCCAACAAGAAAATATTACAATTCTAACTATATTTGCAGCTAACACTGGAGCTCCGAAATTTATTACTGTTAGACCTAAGAAATGAGATAGATGGCAACACAATAATAGTGGGGGACTTTCATACTCTACTGTCAGCACTAGACAGGTGGGTCATCAAGACAGAAAGTCAACAAAGAAACAATAGGCTTAAACTATACCCTACAACAAATGGACTTCACAGATATTTGTGGAACATTCTACCCAACAATTGCAGAATATACATTCTATTCATCGGCACATGGAACTTCTCCAAGATAGACCTTATGATAGGCCACAAAACAAGTCTCAGTAAATTTAAGAAAATTGAAATTATCTCAAGTTCTCTAAGACCACAGTGAAATAAAATTGGAAATCAACTCTGAAAGGCACCCTCAAAACAATGCAAATACATGGTAATTAAATAACCCTGCTCCTGAATGATTGTTGGGTCAACAATCAAGATGGAAATTTAAAAGTTATTCGAACTATATGATAATAGTGACACAACCTGTCAAAACCTCTGGGATACAGCAAAAGCGGTGCTAAGAGGAAAGTTTATAGCATTAAATAACTACATCAAAAAGTCTGAAAGGGCTCAAACTGACAATCTAAGGTCCCACTTCACAGAACTGAAGAAACAAGAACAATCCAAACCCAAACCCAGCAGAAGAAAAGAAATAATGAAGATCAGAGCAAAACTAAATCAAATTGAAACAAACAAATGCAAAAGATAAATGAAATAAAAAGCTGGTTCTTTGAAAAGATAAATAAAATTGATAGATCTCTAGCGAGATTAACCAAGAAAAGAAGAGAGAAGATCCAGATAAGCTCAGTTACAAATGAAACGGGAGATACTACAGCTGATACCACAGAAATAGAAAAGATCATTCAAGGCTACTATGAAAACCTTTACACGCATAAACTAGAAAATCTAGAGGAGATGTTTAAATTCCTGGAAATATACAATCACCCTAGATTAAACCAGGAAGATATAAAAATCTCTGAACAGACCAATAGCAGGCAGAGAGATTGAAATGGTAATTAAAAAAAATTGCCAACAATGAGGAAAGGATTCCCTGTTTAATAAATAGTGTTAGGAAAACTGGCTAGCCATATGCAGAAAACTGAAACTGGACCCCTTCCTTACACCTTATACAAAAATTATTTCAAGATGGATTAAAGACTTAAACGTAACATCTAAAACCATAAAAACCCTAGAAGAAAACCTAGGCAATACCATTCAGGACACAAGCATAGGCAAAGACTTCATGACTAAAACACAAAAAGCAATAGCAACAAAAGCCAAAGTTGACAAATGGGATCTAACTAATCTAAAGAGCTTCTGCATAGCAAAAGAAACTATTATCAGAGTGAACAGGCAACCTACAGAATGGGAGAAAATTTTTGCAATCTATCCATCTGACAAAGGGCTAATATCCAGAATCTACAAGGAACTTAAACAAATTTACAAGAAAAAAACAACCCCATCAAAAAGTGGGCTAAGGATATGAACAGACACTTTTCAAAACAAGAAATTTATGTGGCCAACAAACATATGAAAAAAAGCTTATCATCACTGGTCATTGGAGAAATGTGAATCAAAACGACAATGAGATACCATCTCATACCAGTTAGAATGACAATCATTAAAAAGTCAGGAAACAACAGATGCTGGAGAGGATATGGAGAAATAGGAATGCTTTTACACTGTTGGTGGGAGTGTAAATTAGTTCGACCATTGTGGAAGACAGTGTGGTGATTCCTCAGGGGTCTAGAACTAGAAATACCATTTGACCCAGCAATCCCATTACTGGGTATATACCCAAAGGATTATAAATCATTCTACTATAAAGACACATGCACACCTATGTTTATTGCAGCACTATTCACAATAGCAAAGACTTGGAACCAACCCAAATGCCCATCATTGATAGACTGGATAAAGAAAATGTGGCACATATACACCATGGAATACTATGCAGTCATAAAAAAGGATGACTTAATGTCCTTTGCAGGGACATGGATGAAGCTGGAAACCATCATTCTCAGCAAACTAACACAGGAACAGAAAACCAAACACCACATGTTCTCACTCATAAGTGGGAGTTGAACAATGAGAAGATATGGGCACAGGGAGGGGAATGTCACACACCAGGGCCTGTCAGGGGGTGGGGGGCAAGGGGAGGGATAGCATTAGAAATACCTAATGTAGATGATGGGTTGATGGGTGCAGCAGCCTACCGTGGCACATGTATACCTATGTAACAAAACTGCATGTTCTGCACATGTATCCCAGAACTTAAAGTATAATAAAAAAAAGAAAAATAATGTAAAAAATTGCCAACAAAAATAGTCCAGGACCATACACATTCACAGCTGCATTCTGTCAGACATTCAAAGAAGAATTGGTACCAATCCTACTGACACTTTTCCAAAAGACAGAGAAAGAGGGAATCCTTCCTAAATCACTCTCTGAAACTGGTGTCACCCTAATACCCAAACCGGGAAGGGACATAACAAAAAAAGAAAACTACAGACCAACATCCCTGATGAACATGGGTGCAGAAATTCTCAACAAATTACTAGTGAACTGAATCCAACAGTATATCAAAAAGATAACCTACCATGATCAAGTGGATTTCATACCAGGGATGCAGGAATGATTTAACATATGCAAGTCAATAAATGTGATACATCACATAAACAGAATTAAAATTTAAAAATCACATGGTCATCTCAATAGATGCAGAAAAAAGCATTTGACAGAATCCAGCATCCCTTTATGATGAAAACCATCAGCAAAATAGGCATAGAAGAGACATACCTTAAGGTAATAAAAGCCATCTA